>NC_000006.12:160828365-160979880 GCF_000001405.40 Homo sapiens | reverse complement strand
CCTGCTTTCACATTAGTGGATGAGAGGACCTGCAGCAACTCCAGGAATCCCCTCATGGGCATCAAGAAGCTGTGGTGTGGCTCTCAGAGGAAAAGTGCCTAGAGTGGAGTGGGAAGACACTAACAGGACAATAACCTGTGACACAAAGTGTCTACCTATTTGGAAGAATATGCAAGCATGCGCTTAAGTAATATTAGATAGTAACTTATAGGACACCCACATGAAAAATATCTGTTTACATTAGGTTTTAGCAGGATTATTAAAAGAGGCTTAGTGAGTGGTTGGAAAGTAGGATAAAGATCTATGAGTCTCTTCTTTGGCTGCACGATACACTCATCTGAGGAGGTTGTAAAAAAACAGTAATGCTTGGATCCCGCCTCTCTAGTAGATCTACATTTAATTCGTCTGAGATGCGGCCCCAGCACCCACGGTTGAAAACATTCTTCGGGTAATTCTAATGTTCAGCCAGGGTTGAGAATCACTGTTATAGGTCCAAACCTTCAAAGACAGTCAGCTTAGGAAATGTGATCCAAGAATATTCCTCAATTATTTTACTTAGTGCCCAATCTAAACAGCACTGTGCAGGCTACAGCTGGGAATGCAGCAGTTTAGATAACCAGCTGCTGCCTATTGTGAAAAGTTCCTTCCAGTAGGGACCCAGTACTACAAATGCAGAACTTGCCACACTTAGCCCTGATTGCGATGCTTGTTCACATGGGTGCTGCCCCACCCCATTGGTTTGCCTTCTCTCAAGGATCACAGACCTGCACTACCAGTTGTTCAATGTCTGAAAATAGTTGTTTTATGTATTTTGTCCCATTTTCCAGTTGTTTACAGTGGGTGGGCATATTAGTTTTCTAGGGCTGCTATAATAAAGTACCACAAACTGGTTGGCAACAGAAATTTATTCTCTCCCAGTTATGAAAGCTTGACGTCCAAACTCAAGGTGTGAGAAATGTTGGTTCCTTCTGGGGGACTCTGAAGCAGAGAATCTGTTCCAAGCCTCTCTCCTGGGTTCCAGTGGTTGCCAGAAATCCTTGACATCCCCTGGTTTACAGCTATGTAACACCAATCTCTGCGTCGGTCATCACATGGCCATCTTCTCTCTGTGTCTGTCTCTTGTGTCTCTTTTCCTCTTCTTATAAGGACACTAGTCATGCTGAATTAATGACCTGCCCTCCTCCAGCATGACCTCATCTTAACTTGACTAATTACCTCTGCAACAACCATATTTCCAAATATAATCACATTCTGAGGTTCCGGGAAAAACATGTATTTTTGGGTGATGCTATTCAACCAAGCACAATGGGTCAGTGTGGTTCTGTTACTCAAAAATACTGCAAAATAGAATTTCTTGCTTGATTTCTGAAATCCCCAGAAGGACTGGTTTTTATTTATGTTTGTGCTTTTCACAGTGCTCTGTACTAGAGGAACTCACATTTTGAAATGATTTAGAGTCACATACTAAAAAAAATAGCCAACTGCTCTGTAATTGCATATTTCAGAGCCAACCAAGCCCTGCTGAGTCAGAGCCTCTGAGGAGGCAGACCAGGAACCTGCACTTTCCATGGGTTCCCTATATGGTTCTGATGGAGTTGAGCCTCTTGTTACATGTGCCAGGAGGCACGGGCATGGAGTTTGATTGCATGTGCTCCACAGTAAGGAGCTGAGTTCAAATGATCATGGGCATATTAGTCAGGGTTCTCAAGAGAAACAGAACCAAGAGCATTGTGAAAGGAAACAAAAATCTTGGGACCCCCAAACTCATGATGCCAAAGGGAAAAGTTAAGCTTGGGAACTGAGTCACACAAAAAAACAGCCTTCCAGGCCGGGCACAGTGGCTCATGCCTGTAATCCCAGCACTTTGGGAGGCCAAAGCAGGCAGATCATGAGGTCGGGAGTTTGAGACCAGCCTGGCCAAGAGACCAGCCTGGCCAATATGGTGAAACCCCATCTCTACTAAAAATACAAAAATTAGCCGGGCATGGTGGCAGGCACCTGTAATCCCAGCTACTTGGGAGGCTGAGGCAGGAGAATTGCTTGAACCTGGGAGGTGGAGGTTGCAGTGAGCTGAAGATTACGCCATTGCACTCCAGCCTGGGTGACGGAGTGAGACTTCGACTCAAAACAAAACAAAAAACAAAACAAAACAAAAAAATGCCTTTGTTTTGTTCCTAAACAGATAGCTACAAGATAGAAGGCCACATATTTCCCCCAGGTGGCCTCCCTCACCCTGACAATGTAAACTAACAGCATATCTTCACAGGTAGGGGACAAAGACAAGACCGGAAATTGTCTCCCCACCTTCTTCTACTCTATCTTATATAAAATGCAGATTTACAGAGTGCAAGATAAATGCGTAATTAACTGTTCCTCTTCCTCCTCCTGCTCACTTTTTCCCCTTTAAATATTGACGTCCTCAAAACCCTCTTTGGAAAAAGCAGAGGCCACAGACCTGTCTGCAGCTGTGTCTCTTCTTCCCAGGCACATCTTCAACCTTGGCAAAATAAACCTCTAAATTGATTGAGACCTGTTTCAGACACTTTTTGGTTTACAGCATGGATAGAAAGAAATTTATTGTAAAGAATTGGTGCACGTGATTATGGAGGCTGGCAAGTCCAAAATCAGTCGGGTGGGCCAGCAGGCTGGAAACTAAAGGAAGAGACGACATTGCAGTTCAGGTCCGAAGGCTGACTGCTGATACAATTCCCTCTTGCTCAGGGGAGGTCAGGCTTTTTTTCTATTCAGGCCTTCAACTGACTGGATAAGGCCTGCCCACATTATGGAGGGCAAACTACTTTCAAAATCCATGGAATTTTTTTTTTTTTTTTTTTTTTTTTGAGGCAGGCTCTTACTCTGTCCCCTATGCTGGAGTTCACTGGTGTGATCTTAGCTGTCTGCAACTTCTGCCTCCTGGGTTCAAGAGATTCTCCTACCTCAACCTCCTGAGTAGCTTGGACTTCAGGCCAACCAGTAATTTTTGTATTTTTTGGTAGAGGCAGAGTTTTGCCATTTTGAGCAGGCTGGTCTCGAACTCCTGACCTCAAGTGATCTGCCCACCTTGGCCTCCTAAAGTGCTGGGATTACAGGCATGAGCCACCACACCTGGCCCAAAGTCCACTGATTTCAATGTCAATATCATCCAAAAGCACCCTCACAAAAACACCCAGAATAATATTTGACCATGTATCTGGGCATCATAACCCAGCCAAGCTGACACATAAAATTAGCCAGTACACAGGGTTCTCACCGAGTCCAGCACTGGGAGAGGACCGTGAGGACTAAGCTTTGATTTTTTTTTTTTTCTCTTGCCCAAATTCCTATCTAAGGGGTCTGGAGAGTCATGCCCTACAAACCATCAATTCTCATGAGCTGGGTTTTATTTAACCCTATATGTTGTGACTTACTTTCCAATCTGACTCCGGCATAACATTATGTGACGAGGAAGAAAGTCATATTTTACCCCAAAACATGTTTCTTTGCCCTATTTTGAAATAGCCCTGCAAAGCTGTCCTATGTGGGGGAAAATTTGCATCTGTAAAGAATCTCTATTAACATAGCTAGATCTTTTTCTTCCAGGCCCTCCCAATCCTCAAGAGATTAACTAAGAGTCTAGCACCTTTTAAAGGTCTGAATAGGAAACATTTGTCATCTATTGCCTCTAAGGGCAGCCTGTATAAGACTTCAAAAGAACCTTGGTCTCCACAATCTTTTATCTTAACCTGAACATTTCTTTCTATTGACGCCAGGTCTTGAGACAAACTAAATCAATTGTCAACCAGAAAATGTTTAAATTCGCCTATAGTCTGGAAGCCCCTGCGTCTCTCCCAGCAGGTCCTTGGACCACTAGCCTAGGAATCTCTACATGAAAACACAGATCGTTTGGCCTCATCCAGGAATAAGTGAATCAGAACCCTGGGGCAGGACCCAGGCATCTATATTTTAAACAAATTCTTCAGTTCACATTTAGAAATAAGTACAAATAATAGATTTATAAGTATATTTTAAATATAAAATATACAGTATGTTTAAATATTTATTATACATATAATACTATACTTCTATATTAAAGAGAATAATTATTGATATGAAATTTAAACCTTTGTATAAATGTTGCATAATAATATGTTTATGGGTACATTAGAAATACTGCACATCAGTGTGCAAACTAGAGTCCAGTGTTCTGTTAGCTCATTGGTTTTCTTTGCATCTCTGTTCCTCTTAGTGTCTAAATCTGTACCTGATGTGGCAAAGTGAGCTTAATAAATTACATTGAGCGATGGGTCATCAAGCTAAAATTGGTAGATTATTCATTTTACCAAACATGATTGTTCTAAAGCAATATATGTGGGCCTTTCTGGGAGGAGAAGGAAGGATCACTCTAAGGGAGGCTGATTAAACAGATAGTTTCAAGCACAAGGTAGCATTTGAGTAGGGCCTTGAGAGACAAATGAGATGTCACTAGACAGAAAGGGTGGTGTGTTAATCTGTTTTATGTTGCTATAACAGAATAGCATAGACTGGGTAATTTACAATGAGCAGCAATTTATTGGCTGACAGTTCTGGAAGCTGGAAAGCCCAAGATCAAACTGCTAGCATCTGGCAAGGGCCTTCTTGCTCTGTCATAACACGACAGAAGGCATCACATAGAGGAAGGGCAGAAAGGGGGAGAGGGAGAGGCAGCAAGAGGGGTCAACCCCCTCCCCTCCCAGGATAACAAACCCATTCCCACAATAAGAAAAACAAAGCCTTCATGACCCAAACACTTCTTAAAGGTCCCACCTTCCAATACCATTGCAATGGAAATTAAATTTCAACCCGAGGTTTGAAGGGGCAAACATTCAAATCATGGCTGGTGGGAGTGAACTGAGGGAGAGGGAAGGACAGAAAGCAAAAGTGCATGCAGGGATTCAGGGACGGAGACCACTCAGATGATCTGGGTGACAAGGTTGGAAAGATGAGTGGCGGGTAAAAAGTGAAGAGTTTCAAATGTCAGTCTGCACTTTGCATGCAAATCCACAGTGGCTACTGGAGAGCCTGTTACTCTTCTCAGTTTAGAGTCTTAATTTTAGGTTCTAAGTACAATATAAACTGTCACAATAAGAGGGCAGATTAGAATGCATTTCGAAGCTGCCGTGGTTCCCTAGGAGCAGCACAGAGCAGGAGTCTGCCTCGGCATAGGGCCCATGGCTTGTCACGTGAGAGTCTCAGACCCTGTCCACATCTGAAAACACTCAGAACTCAAGGCTGGAGACTGTAAATCTCTCACTTAGCTGGCAGTCTTTGGTGTGATTCATTCATGCCAGATTCTCAATAAGAGTATTCCTAGGCCCCATCTTTCTGGGTGCCCAGGAACTATGTGAGTGTGAGGCTGGGACACGTCAGAATATTTCAGGCCAAGCTTCTTCACGTCCCCTGCGGTCTGCCAGGTCAGGACGCGTCTGTTATAGGTCATCACCATGGCTTGTTTATGAACTGGCCAAGTGCCTCAGTCACATGAGGGCAGGTGTGTGGGAGGGTATTCTGATTCTTTTATCTGGGAACTGGGTTTGCTCTCATTTTTTCTTTGGAAGACAAAAAAAAAATAGGGAAAACGCATTTGTGTGAAGATACTCCTTGCCTTCCACATGCAGTCTTTCTCTTTGCCATAATTTCCTTTCTTAGTTTCACCTCTAGTTCCTGGGTCCAGGGGAGCAGGTGGGGACAGGGAGCCCCGTCACTACCTACACTGCAGCCTCACTGCACACTATGCACATGGACAAATCCCACCCAGTGGATCTTCTACATCTGCAGTCCAGAGTCGGCTTCCCATTGCTATCAGGCTTCCAAGTTCAATGATCTCATCTCCTAATTATTAAACAAAACATAACAAAACAAAACAAAATGCCAGTTCCTCTAGGCCATGTTTTGCAAATCACACTCCCTGCTTTGTAGAAGTGGCTCTTATGCACTTTAGGCTGAGATAAAAGTTTGTTTTTTAAACATTCCTCATGTTGGGTTTAAGAAAAAACCTTGTCAACATCACAGCATGAAACAATTAACAATTTAAGATAACCAGTCAAGCTTTATCATGAATATATGCATTGAGATGTTCAGAAGAGAATAACAGTGATTTTCAAAAGATGTCTCATTACCAATATTAGCAGTTTCAATAACTGCGAATTAACTTCCTGACTTTATTTCTGAACACTTTCAGAACGACCTCATTTCGCAGAGGTGTATTATTCTCCTACTGTATGCATGGCTCTGTGCGGATTACCAAGGGAAAGGTCACTACCCCAAGGAGTGTGCAATCCAGCTGGGAGATAAGACAAGCACGCATGACATTTCAGTAACAGCTACAAACAGTAAGTGTCCGCTCTGCTCTCTGCCCAGCCAAACCACCCCCATCCTCTGGATCCAGCTGCTGCCCCATCTCCTTCCTGATGAGGTCCTCAGCCTCCCAGGCGGCCCCTTTCTTCCCCCGCCCTGGCTTTCCTGGCCCACATGGCCACTTCCTCCCGCACAGCCTTCTCCTGAGACTTGATTGCCTTGTGTGTGCTACATTTGTTCCCTGGCTGGACTGCATTCCCTGGGGGAGCAAAGGTTTCCCATTTCTTTTATATTCTCTTCAACAACTAGCACCTGGAAAAGGCTCACTAAATAGTCAAATAATAAAGCCCAGGACTCAGCCCACAAGACTTATGAGCAACTATTTACACCCATGGCAGCCTGGAGAGGAGCAGGGGCAACCGGGAGAGCAGAAGGAACTTGAAGGAGTCAATGGCAATGGCTGTGGCCTTGACAAGCAGGAGGCTCTGAATGTAATGGTCAGTGGGTTAACCATCATCACACTGAGGCCAATCCTAACCAGCCCAGCATGGATTATGAGCTAATTTCTGAACCCACAAATAAACAAAAAGCACCTCAATGACAATCACGGGTGCCCCCAGACTGTCCAGTGGTGCGATGCTGGAAGAGACACAGCGAACTTTTTGAAATCTTTGTTATTCTCCTTGGACCCTTTCAATAAAGATAATCATGATAAAGCCAGAGATCCGTCATGCTTATCTTTTGTGTGTGTGTGTGTGTGTGTGCGCGTGTGCGTGCGCGTGCGCGCAATGGAGTCTCGCTCTGTCACCCAGGCTGGAGTGCAATGGCGCAATCTCGGCTCACTGCAACCTCTGCCTCTCAGGTTCAAGCGATTCTCCTGCCTCAGCCTCCTGAGTAGCTGGGATTACAGGCGCATGTCACCATGCCTGGCTAATTTTTGCATTTGTAGTAGAGACAGGGTTTCACCATGTTGGTCAGGCTGGTCTCGAACTCCCGGCATCGTAATCTGCCCACCTCGGCCTTCCAAAGTGCTGGGATTACAGGCATGAGCCACCGCGCCTGGCCCCTCATGCTTATCTTAAATTGTTATTTGTTTTATGCTCTGATGCTAAAAATGTTTTTACCTTAGCTCGACATAAATATTTTTAAAAAATCAACTTGTATCTCAATCTAAAGTGCCTAAGAGCCACGTCTACATTTATGAATCGAGATGAGTCATGGCCATGGCAGTAGCAGCCCTTTGTGTCTGCTGCAAATGAGTTTCTACTTGCTACACAGCTTCCACATACACAGCTGTTAAAAACCACCAACATTGGAGTCAGGTTTCAGTTAGCTGTAGTTTTAGGTTCTGATCATCAGTGGCTTTACTGAGATGTTTGTATTGGAACAAAAATTGTAGTTCATTGAAATGAATAAACCATGCAACTTTTAAGCTGCAGAATCTTGCCAATGTGATCAGAAGAATTTGTTGTTGTTGTTTTTTGAGACAGGGTCTTGCTCTGTTGCCTAGGCTGGAGTGTAGTGGTGTGATCACGGCTCACTGCAGCCTCGATCTCCCATGCTTAAGAGAGCCTCTCACTTCAGCCTCTCGAGTAGCTGGGACTATAGGCACGCACCACCATTCCTGGCTAATGTTTATTTTTTGTAGAGAGGAGGTACCACTACGTTGCCCAGGCTGGTCTTGAACTCCTGGACTCAAGCAATCCTCCTGCCTCAGCCTTCCAAAGTGCTGGGATTCCAGGCATGAGCCATGCCTAGCTGATCAGACAAATTTGTATTCTGATTTGTGGCAAGGTGTGGAGGGCTCTGTGGGCTCCACAGATCTAATGATCCAACATAGTGCATTTTTGTGCCTTCATCAACTACTGAAGAATGACCCTGTGGAAATGTGAAACATTGCCTCAGTCATGGGTATTTTATACTGGTCACGTGCAAGGAGTTTTGAATTAAAATGTATTTGCTGCAATTCAGAAAGCGTAACATTCAAAAGTTTTTCCTGCAAATTGTCTCACAGCCTTAAGGAACAGCTTTATATTTTACAGAAAGCATTTTCTTTGTGACCCTGGATCCACTTATGCAAATGAGGGCCAATTCCTGAAGCTCTATATTTCATTTTCTCAAACTCAGTCCTGTAAAAGAATGAGTAACTGCATCCCTCCTACCTCCCTGTGTGTTTTGAGAACTAATAAGACACAGATGAAGCACCCTAAATTTAGGACAGCTGTTGTCAAAATGGTTTGTGCAGGTCAAGGTCACTGTTTTTAGAGAGGACCGCTATGTGTAGTGTGCTGCCTTCCAATGAGCATGGCCAAGGACTCAGTTTCATCTAATGGAACACCTTCAAACTGTCACAGGTAGCTAAGAGCTTAGTGGATGGAATGACTTCCAGGAAGAAAGATATTCACCTTCCACTGCTAGCCCAGACCAGTGGTTTACAATTCAGACTTGAAATTCTTTTAGCTTTAAACCTAAATCCACATTTAAGATCAATTAAGACCATTCATTCTGTCCAGCATTAGTACAGATGGAATCCTGCTGTACACTAGTACAATAATGTCCATGTATTTTAAATCACGACTAACTTCCTCGCTTTTCCTCAGAAAAATAACATAAACTACCATATTCTTTGCTCATTAGACCTATTTTCCAAAGCTACACCCACCTCTGCAACTCTCTTTTGAATGGCGATATGGTTTGGCTGTGTCGCCACCCAAATCTCACCTGGAATTGTAATAATCCCCATGTGTTAAGGGCAGAGCCAGGTGGAGATAATTGAATCATGGGGGCACTTTCCCCCATGTTGTTCTTGTGGTAACGAATAAGTCTCACGAGAGCTGATGGTTTTATAAATGAGAGTTCCCCTGCACAAGCTCTCTTGCCTGCTGCCATTTAATACGTGCCTTTGCTTTTCCTTTGCCTTCTGCCATGATTGTGAAGCTTCCCCAGTCATATGGAACTGTGAGTCTATTAAACCTCTTTCCTTTATAAATTACCCAGTCTTGGGTATGTCTTTACTAGCAGTGTGAGAACAGGCTAATACAAGTGACTTCTAAGCTTTCCCCATCTCCAGAGGTCTTGACTTCTAAACTAGATACAGGTTTTCTTGGCTCTACTTGCAATTCACAATTAGAGCAGGACTCATTTTTATATTTTTGGCTTGCAGTTAAACTTTAAAATGTATCTTCCTAAATTGCATGGTTTCTTTCTGTTGGTCTCAGTTGAGTATATAGGGCTGGGGACAAGCAGACCAGATTCATTTGCTGTCTTTTACACCTTTAACTCTTAGGAAAACTATTCTTTGAGACTTTTCTTTTCTTTTTTTCTTTTTTTTTTTTTTGGGGGGGACAGAGTCTGGCTCTGTCGCCCAGGCTGGAATGCAGTGGCACGATCTTGGCTCACTGCAAGCTCCACCTCCCGGGTTCACACCATTCTCCTGCCTCAGCCTCCCAACTAGCTGGGACTACAGGCGACCGCCACCACACCCGGCTAATTTTTTGTATTTTTAGTAGAGATGGGGTTTCACCGCATTAGCCAGGATGGTCTCGATCTCCTGACCTCGTGATCCACCCGCCTCGGCCTCCCAAAGTTCTGGGATTACAGGCGTGAGCCACCACGCCCAGCCTCTTTGAGACTTTTTTTATGGACTCCTTCAAAACAAGCTGTAACATATTTCTTCACAGTACTTGAGCTTTAAAAAAAAACTGGAGATGCTTTTTGCCCACATGGTTTTCTGACTCAGTTTACCTTGACACGGTGAAGCTCAGGCAAAAGCACAGGTGAGCCCCAGGGAGGCCCTCCGCAGACTCTTCCACTCTCACTTGATATTTCTCACACAATGTTCTTCTTGCAGACTGCAAATCACAACAAAATTCCAGGTGACAATGTATTCCCTAATTTCATAGATCTTTAAATATCTTGCTATTACTGAGCTGAGGGACATAGGGAAAGAGGAGGTATTCTACTGACCAACACCCACTTATTGAGCAGTAGATGGAACACCCACTTACTGCATCTTTGTCAATGCTGTGAATGATACCAAAGAGGTAGAAGAAGATATTTTTGTATCTTATGCCAGTTATGAAGGGTTTTGGTTTAATGTAAGAATAATCATACCACTTGTCTTAGTCTGTTTAGGCTGCTATCACAAAATACCATAAATTGGTGGCTTATAAACAACAGAAATGTCATTCTCACAGTTCTGGAGGCTGGGAAGTTCAAGACCAAGGCACTGGCATATTTGGTTTCTGGTGTGGGCTGCTTCCCAGTTCATAAGCAGTGCCTTCTTGCTGTGTCCTCACCTGGTAGAAGGGGTAAGGCAACTCTCTGAGCCTGTTTTTTTTTGAGATAGAGTCTTGCTCTGTCACCCAGGCAGAAGTTCAGTGGCGTGATCTCAGCTCACTGCAACCTCCACTTCCTGGGTTCAAGTGAGTCTCCTGCCTCAGCCTCCCAAGTAGCTAGGACTACAGGCATGTGCCACCATGCCCAGCTAATTTTTTTGTATTTTTAGTAGAGACAGGGTATCATCATTTTGGCCAGGCTGGTCTCGAACTTCTGACCTCAGGTGATGCACTCACCTCGGCCTCCCAAAGTTCTGGGATTACAGGTGTGAGCCACCGCGCCCAGTCTGGGCCTCCATTATAAGGGCACCAATGCCATTCAGCCAATCACCTTCCAAAAGTTCCACCTCCTCATACCATCACCTAGTGATAGTGATAAGGTTTTAACATATGAATTTGGGGGAAAACGTAAACATCCAGCTCATTGCACCACTTATGAGTTTTTAAATGACTGGTATATGTAAAGAAACTAGGACTGTGTCTGGCACATATGGAAGCATTCAATAAATGGTAGCTATTGTGATTATTAGTATTAATACTTCTCTCCCTGCCAAGATAGTTATCAAATTTTCTTTAAAATTGTAGGTGAAGATATTACCCATTTGAACATCCAAAGCCTTTTATAAATAATAGAAAGTATATAATAATAAACTAACATATAACATTCTATTTTATAAATATATTTTATTAATCATTATAGATATTTGTTATATATTAATATATTTCTACCATGCATTATACATTTTATTATATATTTATAATGTTTATAATATATAATTATATAATGATTTTATAATTATGATATTTTATATTAATATAAAAATATAAATAATATAAATTCTACTTAGAATACTGAGATTAAAAAGACAGTTTAATGTTGACTGAGATATAATGTGAGCCACAAATGGAAGCCACACATGAAATTTTTTATTTTCTATAGCCATACTAAAAGTCAGAAGAAATAAGTGAAAGTAATTTTAATAATACATTTTATTTAATCCAAATAACCAAGATACCACAATTTCCATGTGCAACCAATATAAAAGTTTATTAATGAGATACTTTATTTTTTCATAGTAGATCTTCAAGATTCAGGGTATTTTACTTTTACAGCATGTCATCATTCCTATGAGCCACGTTTCAAATGCTCAACAGCCAACAGTGGCCACCAGTTCCTGTACTGGGAGGTACAGCTCTAGTGAACTAATTATAACTGATAATCATGATGTAACCTGTTGTGTTTCTTTCTATTGCCATGGTTGCCCAGAAACCCAAAGCTAAATTTGGTGCTGTGTTACAGAATTTTCTCATCCTGAGTTCTTCTAAAATTTTATTTCTCTTCCTTCTAAATGGATTTGAATATTGTTATATGTTGTTTTAGAGAAGTAACTTAATAATATCCATAATGATAATTGACTTTTGTTAATAATAATGGTACTAATTTACCCATCATTCACTATGTGCCAGGCTCAGTGCCATGTGATTTACATGTATCACACAGCAAGACAATGGCAGACTAGGGCCATGGTCTTATTCTAAAGTCCTCGTTCTCAACCACTTAACTCTTAGAAGACTTACAGCCATGATCATGAACACCACTCTGTGCCAGGAGCATCACATACACTCCATCGTTTAGTCCTTGTTGGAAACCTGTGAGGCAGTTAGATATTATCCCCATTTTATAGGATGGGATCGAGGCCAAGAGGTTAGCTTCCTTAGTTAAGATACGGCTAATAAATATCAGAGTCAACATGTAAAGTCCAATACCTTCTCTATCCTCTCTGCTTCATTTATGTAGAATCAACCTCAAAGGACTGAGTTCCTTTTGGAGGTCAAAACACTGCAAAGTTATTCATTTAATAAGTACAGATTTTGAGTTCCTCTTATGAGCCAGCCACTGCTCCCACTGCTGGGGATACACAGATGGAAAAGATGGAAAAAGATTCAGGAGCTCGAATGAAAGAGAAGAAAAAATGCCACAGATATTAATTGGGAATTCTTTACTGGATTTTGCAAAGCAGGTGCTAAGCATATAATCACAAATAAACATATCTAGGTAAGACTAAATGAGTAAAATAAATCAGAAAAAAACAGTTCAAAGCACTTAGAACTCTGAGTGCACCTATGGGAAATGTCAACATACCCTGATTTCAGCCCTGCTCAGCCTAAGATTCCTGTATGCCCTCTCTAGTGTCTATGTGTGTTCCCAAGAGCTGTACAAAAGGCACAGTGCCGTGAGAGGAGACAGTGCCACGATGTCTGTCTCAGCACAAACTGAGACTCATTGCCATCAGTTAAAGTATTCTGGTGGCTTACAGAGTTCCTGGGATAAGAATATATAGGTGCTTCCTTTAACATCGTGCAGGACCTTATAGATACATTTCCTCAAGTTTGACACATTCGTGCTGTTAGCAAACACACGAGCAAAAGATACTCTTATTTGGTGCTGTCATTTTAGCTTCCTCTCAAACATCTGGACTTGACACAGACTTTGACAGCAACATATTAGAATCATTGCCATGTAAAATCATGCTTCCGCTGATACAGCATCTTTTAGCCCAGAATTTGAATGTGGTCGTAGGAAGAGAGCTTCCTATGATCACAAGGAGAAACAGGAAGGAAAGTACAGAAATTTTTAGATTCACTAAAAGTCATTGAACAGGAATCAGTGGGGTGTTTTTGGCAAGCCAACTCCTTATTTTCCATTTCAAGATCAGATCTAATCCTATAATAGTTTTAAGCCTAACCTTTAAATGACTGCTCGGCTGGTCACGGTGGCTCATGACTGTAATCATAACATTTGGGATGCTGAGGCAGGAGGATTGCTTGAGCCCAAGAGTTCAAGACCAGCCTGAGCAACATAGCAAGCTCTTATCCCTAAAAATTATTAAAAAAAAAAAAAAAAAAGAAAAGAAAAGAAAGAAAGAAAAAGAAAGCTGGGCATGGTGGTCTGAAAATAATTAAAAAAAAAACAAACTGGGCATGGTGGTCTGCACCTGTAGTCTCAGCTACTGGGGAGGCCAAAACGAGAGAATCACTTGAGCCCAGCAGGTCGAGGCTGCAGTGAATCATGATCATGCCACTGCACTTTAGCCTGAGCCACAGAGCAAGATCCTGTCTCAATCAATCAATCAACCAGTCAACGACATCTCATTTTTCATGCTGTAGTGTCCTTAATTATCCTTCCAAAACTAATAGTTTTGAAGGTGTTCCTTCCCATGAAACTTTGATGTGAGTGAATCACAGTTTTCCTGGAGGATTCTGTGATTCTAGTATGTGTATTTAAGGCAGTTTTCTGTCCCGACTATTTTGGCTTTGAGGAACAGAAGCATCCTCGAACCAACTCAGGAAAAACAGGGCTTTTCATAAGGACACAAGAGGAATGGAAGTGGAACCTGACAGAAGGCAGGTCAGGGGCTGATGCTTGGCCTCATGAAGGCTCGGCCCCTCCTTGCCATCCCTGCCTTCCCTTGTCTCTCCTGGTGAGCTTCCTCCACCTCATCACAGCCTTATGGTCTCACAGCGCATGGCCCAAACTCTCATTCCCGACAGACATCCTTTCAGCTGCTGCCCAGCATTTGCCAGCGCGCTCTCCTAACAGAGGTTACGGTTTTGGCCCAGCTTGACTTCCAACACGATATATCCCTGGCCAGCCTATGGATTTGTTTATCTCAGGCCAGATGCCTGTCCAGCTGGTTATGGCTTGGGGGGTTGGGGGAAGATGGAGATGATGGAGCACCACACCTGTCTGCCCAGCCAGTAGGGATCCTGAGTGGGTAGTTCCCTTAGAAGTGTTGTGTGGATGATGTTCAAAGGCTTGCTTTGCCCAGTGCAGACAGAAGTGAAATCACATGGTATGCTAATCGACTAAGAAACATCTAGGAATTAGGCATCATGTCTAAAGTAGAGAAGAATTTTTAAAAATGAAATGCAGATGGAAGGAAATTTACATGTAGGTACTTGATAGTAAGTACGGTGTAGGCATTTTACATGCATTATTTCACCTAAGCTTCCCAAATATGCTGCAAAATAAGTGCCATGACCCCATTTTCATTTATAGAATGGAGGCTTAGGGACACTACCTATGTCACCACGTGACTCAAAGTCACAGACCCAATAAATGGTGGAGCCAACATTTGAACCCATGCATACTTAACCCCAAAGTTATTTCCACTATAAAACATACAAGATAGAGGGCTATTAACAGCATTCGAATCTACCTGCTAAAAATTATAAACTACGAGTATTCCCCTATTCCCTTGCAGAACCCTGGTTATGAATGGGCCTTGCCCATAGTAACATGAAGGAGAAATAATTCAGAGGTGACTTGAAAGCACTATAAAATCATTAATAATAAATCACTGGACTATAACAATGTGAATACTTATTACTTGGAAAAGGATTAAGCCCTTAAAATAATTCATTTTAGTCTACCCCACGAGAAGGACTCAGTACAAACAACAGTCAATCTAATAAGTGACTGAACCAGTCTGCTATTGTAACTCCTCTTTAAATGTCTTTCAAGCTGAGCCTAAGAAAATAATAGTATTGACTTAATTGCACTTTGATTCAAAAGTGCTCTCACAAGCTTACGTCATTATAATGCAAATATCAGTTTAATTAACCATATTAATAAGACGCTGTGTTAAGCACTGCAAGAAATAAAATATTTTAAAAACTCAGACCTACTAATCCTTAAAGATCTCTGAACAAAATGAATCTAAAATGTAGCAAAATGCCCAGTGTTGATCTTCTTATGCACACTATAACAAGAACGTATACTGTTTCTTGGGTAGAGATGGATGAAGAAATACTATTCATCTTTTTTTTTATCCCATTAAAAACTGGCATTGTCAGATTGAAGCATTGTTTTTGGCTAAATAGCTTTGCAAGATTAAAAAAGCAAAAGCAGATACAAAATGATCTTTAAAATAAATATCAAAGCTTAAGCATAAGAATATATAACACTTTAGAACTGGCATCATGCCATGAATCATCACATATAGCTATCATCGTGTAATTCTACGTTTGCTGTTCCAAATGTCTTTGGCTTTCAGCTTTGAAATGACCAGAGCCTCTGGAGATTTTACAGCTATAGCAACTTCAAGCGTAAGAGTTCTTAGTTAAAAGCAACAAAAGCGAATTCTGGCATGTTTAAGTAAAAAGGGAATTTATCTTTTAAAATACTGGCACCAAAAGACACATACAAGAATGTTCACAGCGGCACTGTTCATAGGAGTCACACCTGGACCCGAGCCAAACATTTATCAATGGTAGAATGGATAAATGAATTGCGGTATGTATATTCCTCTAATGGAAAACAGCACCTCAATGAGAATGAACCAGCTACAATAACGCGAACCACCAGAAGGAAACTTCTCACCACAAAATACCGAGACAAAAAAGCCCAACACTGGAGAGTACATACTGTACTATTCCATCTCAAAACAGGCAAAACTAGATTATGAGACAGCCATCTTCTGAGACGTCACAAGAGTGATTACCTTTTGGGATCAGTGTGCACTGATACAGGGTGTGAAGGGGGTTTCTAGGGTCTTGTTTCTCGCTATGAGTCCTAATAAGGATCTGTTTGCTTGGTGAAAATTAGGCTATGTTTGTACAATTCGTGCAGCCTTTCATATGCATATTAAAATAAACAATTTGATATAAAGAATACTGCATGGCTTCAGCCTGGCCAGGAGGGCCAGAAAACCAGGTTCGGAACTTCATGGATAGGAACAAATGCCCACAGGCTGCTGCAGAATTGGTCCAGGGAGGACGCTGGTGCCCCGTTACAGGCCCATCCTGCTAGCCCACACTGCCACTAGCCTCATCGCAGCGCTGCCGCTGGGCAGGTGCCTCCCTCCTGTCTCCTTATTCTACACTTGGCACAGGTGTATCTGACAGTGGAGCGGAGGACACAGCCCTGGGCTGGGGGCTGGGATTTTCAACTTCTGTAGCAGGAAACCACAGTGAGACTCAGACGGTAGGAAGGAATGTCTAGGCAGGCAATGGATGGCAAATATGTCCTAACACCTCCGCACGGGACTCTGTTCTAGGGTAGATGCACATTCAGATGACTCCTGGAAATTTCTAACCTGGCTTCAGATATGTGGAACAATTCGAAAGGTGTTGTGGGGAACGTTTTGTCCCACATTAGGTCTAGAGACAGGTGGCTGGGTGTGAGTCAGAGGCAGCAGCTGTGGTGGTCTGGAAGCCAGTTGTTAAAAGGCACACTTGGTTGTAGAGAAAGTCATATTTGGCCCATTTGGATGGTTTGTTAGGACTATTTATTAATAGTTCTAGATTTCTAGAACTGCTGTGAACTCACAGTGCAGAGAGTTCCTGTAACCTCCACACACAGTTTACCCGGTTAATAACATCTCGATTATATGGTACATCTGTCACAATTAATGAGCCAACACTGGTACATTAAACTAAAGTGCACAGGGGTCCTCTCACAGATACCATATTATGTTTCATTATCATGTAGTCCTAGGTACCTCTTGACTCTAACAGTTTGTCAGGGTTTCCTTGTTTTTTGATGACAGTTTTAAGGAGTAGTGGTCAAGCGTTTTGTAGAAAGGACATCAACTGGGGTTTTTCTGATGTTTTTCTCATGGTTAGACTAAGGTTATGGGTTTTTGGAAGGAAGACCACAGAGGTGAAGTGCCCTTCTCATCACATCCTACCAAGGGCACGTATCACTGTTGGCATTCACCTTGACCACCTGCCTGACAGTGTTTGTAGGTTTCTCACTGTAAAGTTACTCTTTTCTCTCTTTGGTACACTTTGGAAGGAAATTACTATACAATGAGCAGCCTGCATTTGCAGAGTGGAGAGTTATGTCTCACTTCCTTGAGGCAGGGAGTATCTACCTAAATTATTCAGAATTCGTGAGCAGGTGAGCTTTAGGACCATTTTTTATTATCGTCTACCATGTGGAGAGTATTGTATCCCAAATAACCAGTCAATCTGATACAATTTCTTTTTTTTATAAATACAGTTTTTTTTAAAAGCATTCCAGTTATGTAGTTGATAGTTATTTTTAAAATAATTGATGAATTTAGAACAGACCAGAGTAGGCTGTTTTTCTGTGGTATTTTGAATCTATCAGGCCTTGTAATCCTAAACTCCAAACATAGCTATACAATGGTGTATTTGATGTTAAGGGAGGGGAAACATGTATTTAGCAACTACTGAAGAGGGGTTTAAATTATATCAACATTTTACACGTTTCAGACATGTTGATAGTTGGCTTTTATGAAAGTTTCTCAATTTGTAGAGTTTTAATTATGGCAACATGAACACAGTCTTTACCAGAATGAATACTACTAGAGAGAAATGAATGTACATGACTATGTTTTTTGATGGGGAAGGGGGAATAGGTTACTTTTTAAAGACTGATAGGTTTATAGTCTGTGTATCATCCCAGCTTCTTCTATTTGAAATCTGGGCTTATTGCTTTGCTACAAAAAAGTTTCTGTGCAGGGGTCACTGTCCATACAAAATACTTCACCATTTTTATATATTTTGAATTTATATGTAAAAGTTTACTAACATCTATTTCTGAACAAATTTCAGTTTTTGCACTTTCAACTGTTCATGTTCCTCTTCTTGAAGTATATGCAAAATGAGACACATCATACCATAAACATAGGGTATCTGGATTTTCTCTGCAATGTTCCTGAGTGATGAGAGCAGGCATTTTTAAACCTGGGGAGTGCAGCTCTGCAGACCCCATCCTCAGAGCTGGGGCAGACCAAGGGAGAGAGTCTTAGGGCCTGAGGATAGAAAGGGCCAGAGGTGAGGACTGGAGAAGCAAAAGTACAGTTGAGAGAGCAATAAAGATTCCAACCTCTGAGTCAAGAGTAATAGGAACTAAAAGGACGGTCAGGATAGTCAACAGAGCCAGGCTATAGTAAGCATCAAGCCACCAGCCAAGCCTCAAAGAATGAACGTGTGTTGGAACGTCCTTCCTCTTCTTTGGGGCATCCTACGAGCCCCCAACTTGATTGAGATGCCAGGGGAAACAGATGCCCTATCCTTGAGTTAAAATGGATTCTTTCAGTCCCAAACCTCTACCCACTGCAGTTAACTCTACTGATAACAGCAGGCAGGCACCCCCAGGGCACCACAAAATAAGCGTGACTTTGTGGAGTGTAATTGGCATCCTAGATGTGAGAGAATTCTTAGGAAAGATTGAAAAGAAGGTTAATAAAGTCTTTTGGCTGTTTTCCAGTCCTGACTTGTAAAATCAACACAGCTGAATTTTCAAACAAGAGCTCCCATTCTTTCGCACACTACCATCTCTGAGGACTAACCTTTGATATTTCAGGCTTGGCTGGAAATTAGTTAATTGCTAGGCCTACTCACATTACTTGGAACAAAAAAGTGTTTTGGAAATAATGTTAGAAAATACCTTTAGGGTAGTGCATAGAACTACTGGGTTTTAAAGATGCATTTAGTGTGCGTTTAATGAATGGCAGTTTGACATGAGCTGAACTTCACTGGTTTCAAGGGAGGCATAATGATAGTCTCGCTCTTTTGAAAAATAGACTCCTAGCATTCAGTCATGATAATGAAGGAAGTTAGAAGATAATGAGTAGATGAATGTGTATTTGGAAACTATTAGGTTGGTTAAACGGGAAATTTAAGCTTAAGCTTCAGTATACTTAGGTGTCCTAATAAAAGCTTGAATCTAGGCTAACTCTTAGAACAAACAGTGTCTCTGGGTCCCAACAAGGATTTAATATACATGTAATGACCAGCTGTCACACAGATTTTTAGCACTGCATTTATCATGGGTTTAAGATGCAAGTATTTCTGCTTAGCATTTTAAATAGGTTTGGAACATACATAAGGCACAGATAATTGGGTAATACAGAAGCCAACTTTATGCTGCCCTGTAAACACTCTCAAATGTCACCAGGGCAAATTTTCCTGGCAGAAACATCTGCGAAAAAGTCTGGCCCTTACAGACTCCTCTGGCCCCACCGTCACCATCTGCCTCTGTAGGAACAATGAAGCTCCCTGCTGGGGAGGGTGGCAAAGAAGGAAGGCTTTTTGTTCAAGGAATACAAGACTGATCAAGGCAAATTTTCCTATCTAAAAATAGTACAAGGAGTTGGAGAAGAGGTCTTAAAATGTCCCTTCTTCTTCCTCATTCTAAATCAGCAGAGACTTCAAGATTTTCACAATCACAGTCAGTTTGGCGACATTGTTTTTCTAGGTTGTCTACTTTTTCACACTCCAGTGATTCACCAATACCCAATGGGAAAACATGTAGCAGCAGTGAGCACTGAGAAGTTGAAGCACAGAAATGGTGTGTAATGGTATGACTTGAGCAGATTATAACAGAAAGCAGTTAGAATAGCTGAATGAATTGCTTTTTGGTAATGGCTCTAGGATACGGGTTCTCGTGTCGGTTAGAATCACAGTCCCGGTCAATGGAAACTACTGGTGTACAATTCATTTGGCAAACTGAGAAGCCACTAGTCAGGCCTTGTGCTAGCTGGATAGGAAGGTGTAGTGGAAGGGGCTATCAAGGAGAAGAAGATAAAAGCTCTGCCTTCAAGAACATAAGACCAAAAGCTAATGAAATGGAAAAATAAGTAGAATACACATTTCTGTTTTAATCACAAGACATTTTGGGTATTAATAAATGACAAAGCATCCAGAAAGGGGTCGCCAGGATGGCAAGGAGATGAGAAACTGCATCATAGAAAGAATGAACAATCAAAAGAATAGGGGTTTGTATTCCTGAAAATCAGAATACTACCAAGGACTCAGGGTTTGTGTGTGCATGGCAATAGGTATATGTGGGGAAAGGCAATATCATTGCTATTCTGGAATATTTGAAAACACGTATGGAAAAGGCTTACTCTGTGTTCTCGGGGCCAACAAGACAGCAAATGGCAGGAAGCAGAAGAGTGATGCTCCCAAACCATTCCATTGGCTTCTCTGCCTTCCCCAGGCCCCTGCAATTAGGTAGCGCCATGTGACTAGCTCTGGCCCATGAGCTACAGGTAGAAATAAGGGGTTTCACTTCCAGACAAGGTGTAGAAGAGATGGGAGCTGTTGATGACTGCAGTATAGCCTGTGATATGCTGACTGATTCCCAAACAAAACCCCACATTATTAGAACTGTTCAAATAGGTCACTTACTGTTTATGTTGCCTTGCTCTGGAAGTGTTCAGTGAGAGGCTGAATTTGGAACACGTCATAGAAATTCCTGGCCTACGTGAGTAAATTTGGTTACTTCTAGGGAAAAAAAGACAGTTTAGGGTGTTACCTTTAGCTATACATAGAAATAAATAACTTTTAAAACAGTTAAAAGAAATCTTGAGTTATAGTTTATAAACATGTAGATGTACATTACTTTCAGATGGCAAAGAATTTTCTAAAATTTAAAGAAAAGAAAAATATTGATAAATGTGACTACATAAGATGTTAAAACTTTATAGATTATATAATGCCATTATGAAATCAACGCAAATAAGTGGGGGCAATATTTACCCCAAATATGGCATAACATCAATACCCTTGTGATGTAAATGGCTTTGCCAGATAACTAAGAAGAATACAAGACTCCAACAGATAAATTGATAAAAGACATAAACAAAAGCCATATCTTTGTAATCCATAATAAACTCATGAAAAAAGGCAAACATCATTGATAAACTATCTCTACTCTACTATCAAAAAAATTGAAAAATGACTGATGATACACAGTGTTGGGGGAGCCACAGTAGACAAGCATTCCTTTTTCACAATGTGGGTAGCAGCAAAAATTAGTATAGTCTTTCTGGGGGAAAATTTCTAATATATTTTCATTTTTGACCATGTAACTCCAGGCCTAGGAGCTTATATGGAAGAATCAAATGATGCATACAATGATTTGAATATAAGCATTACTTTTGATACTAAAAATTAATACAAACACCCAACAATAAGAGGATAGCAAATAAGTAATAGCACTCCAATGGAATGAAAGACTACAGGGTCATTAAAAGCCATGTTTGGGAATTATATTTAGTGACGTGGAAAATGCTTCACCAAGTGATGCCAAATTAAGAAATAAATATATATGCATATATATATATATATATATATATATATATATATATAGTGTGTGTATAAACACATAAGGTATGATTCTAATTAATAAAAAAACCCAAAAGTATTAAAAGACTGTTGTTTCTATTGTGTTTTAAAATTCTCTATGCACTTCTGATTTTTCAAATTTTCAATAAAAATATTGCTTTAATAATCAGAAATAAACATTTCAACACAATTGATGATAGCAGAGCCAACAGAGAGTGGTAAGAAGGCATCCCTCCTTCATTTTGGGTAGGTGTGTATATTCATACAAACTTTCTCAAAAGCAATTTAGTGATATGTAGCAGGTGCTCTAAATGTTTGCACCCTTGACTCCCTTTGATTTCCATCACTTCTAGCTAGCTATCCAAAACAACTAACTTCCAGTGAGAGCTTGGAAGTGATTATCAATACTATATATAAGAGTAAACATTTGGGAACCTAGATCCAGCGGAAGAGGAATAATCAAATAAATTATTGGATATCATGATGTAGGACACGAAGGCCAGTCACTAAAAATAATGTGTGCATAGTGCTTTCAATGACCTAGGGATATATTATGTTTATAAAAGAAGGTTCCACATGCCCAAAATATATATGCATAACATGGTCTCAAATATATAAGAAAAAATGCATAAAAATGCCTCTGGAGGATGGGATTATGAGCAATTTTTCTGTTTCTATACATTTCTATAAATAAAATTTTTTAAAGTTATAGCCTAAAAATAAAAATCCAAGCTCCCCCTTGGATTTTTTATTCTTGAAAATATTTCTCTTTCCAATATAGAAAACAATTTATTTCTCTTGCCAATATAAAAAATAATATTAAAGTCTGAAGCTTTAATTTTTACCAATAAAACCTGAGACTTTAATCTCGTGTTTTTGTTTTTGTTTTTGTTTTTTTATATTGGGAAGAGAAAGAATGGGTGGTTCGCTCACCAAAGCTACCTCCACATTGCTAGAAGGATGGTTACATCTTGGACCTCAGGTGCTTCACTTATCAGCACCATGTGACAGACAGAGGTCACCCCACCCCCTACCTTCTTCCCTGGCCTCCCGGACACCATCCCTCCCCAGCTCTCTTCCTGCCATGGGTCACACCTTGTCAGCTTCCAGTGCCGGTTCCTTCCCTCCCCTAACCAGCAAATGCTGGAGTCCTACCGCATTGCAACCTCTGGCTGCTGCCTTATTTACACCACTTTCAAGATGATTTCTTCTACTTTCATGGGTTTAAGCAACCCCTACACTCTAAACACTGATGAATCCCGATATCAGATGAGGCCCTGGGCTCCTACCAGCATCTTACCAGCATGCCTGTGAGGCATCTCCCCTTGTATATCTAATAAACTTCACATGCCCCAAGCTTAATTCCTGCTTTCGCCTACACCCCTTGAAGAAACAATCAAACAAAACGCCAAAAACCTGCTCCACCTGCAATCTCTCTTTTCGGTTCATGGCAACCTCATTCTTCCAGTTGCTCCAGCCAAAAACTTGGAGTTTGTCATTAAAACCTCTGTTTCTCTGAATGCCATGTCCAATCTTTCAGCAAAATCTTCCAGTTCTACCTGCAAGATATAGCCAGAATTGAACCACTTCTCAACACCCCATGGCCACAGGCCTGGTCTCAGCTGCCAACACCTCCCGGCTGCACCTGTTGCAAGCTGCTCTGCCTGGTTCCCTTTGGCTCCCTCCTGTCTGGGTGGCCTCAGCCAGATGATTCTGATAACAGGTAGGTCAGATTTTGTCACTCCCCTTCTGAAAACCCTTAGTGCTTTCCGTCTGATTTCACTTACAGTAAAAACCCAACCTTATGATGGCCTAGAGAGGCAGGCAAGCCCTGATCCTCTGCGTGCTCTCTGAGCACCTCTCCCGACTCTCTCCCACCTACCCACCGAGCTCCAGCCTCTTTGGCCTCCCTGTTGTGCTTCAGGCATCCAGGTGTGGTCCTGCCTCAGGGCCCTTGCCCTTGCCACATCGGCACTGCAACACTCTTCAGTCTCCTCCCAAATGTCATCTTCTCAGCAAGGCTTTACTTGATTTCTCTCCGTCAAATGCCAATCCCCAGCACCTCTGCAGCCCGTCACTCTGTGGACCTGGCCTGTTGCATATTTACTTGTATTTGCTTCTTGTCCCTTTCCCCTCCCCTAAAACGTATGTCCCATGAGAACAGAGACATTACTTTCTTCTCAGTGCCTAGAACAGCGCCTGGCAGAAAACAGGGAGTCAAATATTTGTTGCAGAAATGGGCACTCACTTGAAGTCCAGGACACCCTGTGGCCACAGGCAAGTCGTTTGGAGCCTGTTGCTGAGAGTATCTGTAGCTGCCTTATCTATGTCACAGGACTACTGTGGGACAATGATACAAGGAAAAGACTCGAAAACATCAAAACCCACAGATGCAAAATGCAAGCCGCACCAAGTCTACAGAAGGAAGCAGTTGCTTTATCCTGGGCCAGGGGAGAGGATCTGGTCCTTGACTCACTGTTCCTCCCTAACTGCAGGATGGTGCATAGCTTTGATGTCCTCACTACGCAGTCTTTAAAAGAGCTCCTCAGGGTGTGGCGGGCAAAGAGCTCTGGGTAGGAAACAGGAGTTTTTTGTTTGGTTGCTTGTTTGTTTGCTCTCTAGATGTCTTAAGTTGTTGGGACTGCTGAGGACAGATCCAGAGAATGTCATAAAGCTTATTTAGGGAGTAGTCATCGAGGTGGGCCAGGCACTTCATGTACATTATCTCTAATCCTCACAACAATAGCAGCTATCATTACGCATATTTTACCGAGTCAAAACCTGAGAGTGGTCAAATGCTCTGACCAAGCCCTAAGTCGGGGCTTTCTTGCTACTATCTCTTATGCCTACCCAGGTTTAGGAAATTCTTGGACCAGCATAAAGAAAAAGAAAGAAAGAATGTTCTCTCTAGTTACTTATTTTGAGATCGGTCCTTGCTTTGTCACCCAGGCTGGAGTGCAGTGGTGCAATCACGGCTCTCTGCAACCTCCGCCTCCCAGGCTCGAGTGATCCTCCCACCTTGGCCTCCTGAGTAGCTGGGCCCACAGGCACACACCGTCATGCCCGGCTAATTTTGCCATGTTGCCTAGGCTGGTCTTGAACTCCTGAGCTCAGGCCCACCTCCCACCTCAGCCTCCCAAAGTGCTGGGATTAGAGGTGTGAGCCACCGTGCCTGGCTTACAAAATCTACTTTTCCAAATACACACATTAATGGACTTTACCCTTCTTGTAGTTTAAAACTACACAGAAAATTAAAATTTGCTTCTGTTTAGATTACACATGAAAAACACCCAATGAACTCATTCACTTGTTCATTTAATAAATGTTTGGATTTCTTTTCTGTACTAGCACCAGGCTAGGCACTGCAGACATAGCAGCCACCCAAATAGGAAACAATTCTGTCTTCATTTAGTTTACATTCTAGTGATGAGGACACTAAACATAAGTAAGCAAATACGTGGTAGTGTATTAGAAGGAGGTAAGCCCCAAAAAGAGAGAAGGGAAAGAGGAGGAGAAGGGGGTGAGCGGGGACTGCAGTTTTACACAGAGTGGTCACAGCAGGCCTCCTGGGAAGGTGAAAGTTGAGGGAAGTCTTGAAAGAGATGAGGGGAATGGCCATGTGGGTATGTAGGGAAGGAATTCCAGGTGGAGGGAGCAGCCAGTGCCTGTGTGTTTATTTTTATTTTACTTTAAGTTCCGGGATACATGTGCAAAATGTACAGGTTTGTTACATAGGTAAACATGTGCCATGGTGGTTTGCTGTACCCATCAACCTGTCACGTAGGTATCAAGCCCTGCATGCATTAGCTATTTCTCCTGGTGCTCTCCCTCCTCTCGACCCCCACTGACAGGCCCCAGTGTGTGTTGTTCCCCTCCCTGTATCCATGTGTTCTCACTGTTCAGCTCCCACTTATGAGTGAGAACATTCGGTGTTTGGTTTTCTGTTCCTGTGTTAGTGTGCTGAGGATGATGGTTTCCAGCTTCATCCATGTTCCTGCAAAGGACATGATCTCAATTCCTTTTTAGGGCTGCATAGTATTCTATGGTGTATATGTACCACATTTTCTTTATCCAGTCTATCATTGATGGGCATTTGAGTTGGTTCCATGTCTTTGCTATCGTGAAGAGTGCTGCAGTAAACATACGTGTGCATATATCTTTACAATACAATGATTTATAACCCTTTGGGTATATACCCAGTAATGGGATTGCTGGGTCAAAAAGGTGAGTGCAATTGTAGGAACTCTGGATTCCACTCTGAAGAAAATGGAGGGCTGTTGGAGTGTTCTGAATAGAGGAGTTAAGTTTTAAAATGTATTTATGTTTTAAAGGGATCACTAAGGATGCTGTACTAAAAGCAAGGGTGGAATTAAGGGGCTGGTGAGGAGACCCTAATGGTCATCAAAGTGAAGAAGTAGCCATGACTTGGGTCAGGGTCAGGGTCAGAGGAAGTAGTTATTCTGATGTAATAATGCATAGGATTAGCACACAGGCAAGTTAAGAGACTGCCCTATAAAATACACTTTTCACTTTAAAACAAAGAGCAAAACAAACTCCTTTAACCGTCTCACCTAGAAGGATTTGATTCACAGAAATGTAATCTGTACACATTATTTCATAACACATTTTCCATGCAAGCAAGGTATACCCATAGTTTTCTTAAGAAAGTAATTATCAAAAAAATGTAAAACAAGAGTTTCTCGTTTGTTTGAAACCTAGCAAGAATATTGCATACTTTCTTTTCTACTTACATTTTTGACACTGAAATGTACCTAGGAAATCACAATAAAAGGAACTATGGAAAAAACATGTCAAAGGTTCCTGCCAGAGTTAAATACATGCACCCATGAGGAAAGGAACTACTGACTGTGGAATGTCTTGAGAGCTCAAGGAATCTGCCTTCAAAGTTTCTTTGGACAAAGACGCCTCTGAGCTCACATTCTTTTCTCTGGGGGTATAAATGATGCTTTGCAAAAAGGGGAAACCATTTAGAAGCAGAATCAATGCGAGGCTTTTTAGGGATGGACAGGCACTGGCAACAAAAGAGAGCTTGCAGCACACACTGAGCGGCTTTGGGGAGAATGCAGGCACTCATGGAGCACACGATGGATGCTGACGTCTTCTTTGGACCCACTTCTTACCTTGTTCAACCACTGGGGTCATAAGACAATGGGGAGCCACACAGAAAACAGCAAATGCCACTCTTGAATGGATTTATTTATTAATTTTTTTTTGACCTTCTTGCTCATTTCCCGTGCTGGAGTTTCACTCTTGTTGCTGGAGTGCAATGGCGCAATCTTGGCTCACACTGCAACATCCAGAATCAAGCATTCTCCTGCTTCAGCCTCTTGAATAGCTGGGATTACAGGTGCCCGCCATTATGCCCGGCTAATTTTTTGTAATTTTAGCAGAGATGGGGTTTCACCACGTTGGCCAGGCTGGTCTGGAACTCCTGACCTCAGGTGATCCACCCGCCTCAGCCTCCCAAAGTGCTGGGATTACAGGCGTGAGCCACCGTGCCCGACCTTGAATAGATTTATTTTTTATTTAGTGAGCCTGTATACATCCAAAACATTGGGAAACAGTTTAATGGCAATGATACTCAGAGTCTGGGCTTTCTGTTTTTCTAAGTTTTTGGTTTTCTGGGTTTTTTTTGACTCCATAAAGTGCCTAATGTTTTCTTAGTCTCCTCTGTGCTGCTATAACAGAATACCCAAGACTGGGTAATTTATAAAGAGCAGAAATTTCTTTCTTTTTGTTTTTTGAGATGGAGTCTCTTTATTAAACAACTCCAACAAGGCTGTCATAAAAATATTGCAAAAAACTAACTGAAAATATATGGCTGATTCTTAATTATGATCTGAAATGGAACACAGTCCTTTAATACATATTTATTAATGTCTACCGTGTGCCAGGCAGTCTGCTGACTCTGGGAATGAACAATGAAGAAAGCAAACACAATTCATGTTGTCAGTTAGCTTATAGTCTAGTGAGGAAGACAGACAATGAAGTAATTAAAATGAAGTGCTACAATGTTCTTGTGGGGACGGTATGGCGCATTATGGGAGCAAGACAAAGATGTAAATTGTGTGTGTGTGTGTGTGTGTGTGTGTGTGTGTGTGCTGGGAGGTGGAGGGGAAGCCTCTCCCATCATCTGCCCTCAAAATGGACCCTGTTCCCTGCTCCTGTCTCTCCAGCCGTCAGTTCTTCTGAGCTCGAGTGGTTCGAGTCACTCTTGGCTGCTCTTGCTCCTTCACCCTTCATATCTCATCACTCAACAAGTTCTGCTGATCTGAAGGTTGTCACTTCTGGAGGCCATCTCCCCTTCCACTCCTAACACCATCTAGTTCATCATTCACCTTGACTACTAGAAGAGTCTCCCAGCTCTTCTCCAGGGTCCAGTCCTGCTCTCTTCAGTTCTGTCCTCTACACATTGATCTACCTAAAATGCACCTCTGACCACATGACTCCCCTGCTTTAAAACTTTTGATGGGCTTCCTATGGGCTAAAGATGAAGT
The DNA here is from genome assembly GCF_000001405.40 of Homo sapiens. NCBI lineage: Eukaryota > Metazoa > Chordata > Mammalia > Primates > Hominidae > Homo > Homo sapiens. Next base: position 160,951,607 of record NC_000006.12, on the reverse strand, counting down.
CCAAGTTGATTAAAGTCCCAAAGCCTCCATGCACCAGCCCCGCCGACCTTTCCAACTCCCCCGCTTGCTCCTCCTTATCTCTCACTCCGTGTGCCAACAGGGCCAAACTACTGATAGGTCCTCAGGCGCATCACGCTCTTTAGTGCATTTGCTGTTGTGTCCCATGGGCCTGTCCCCACTGCCAGTACCACCCGCTTCCCACACGTGTCTTCCCCCTGCTTGGTTGGCCACGTGCTGGTGCTCATCCCCTTTGACTCAATTCAGGCGTCTTTGCTTAGGAAACCTTCCTTGCCTGCCCCACCCAGACCAATCTTCTCTGTGTTCTCAGAAAACCCTGTGCACACACTAACATTTGCATATTCTAAACCCTATTTTAATCATTTCTCTATGGCTCAGTTTCCCTCCTTAGCTTTTTTTTTTTTTTTCCTTCTTAGTTTGTGACCTACTGGAGGACAGGGATTACCTCCTTCACCTTTGCATGCCTCACCCCTGACATGGTCCTGATACAGAATAGGAGGTCAGGACACATTTGTTTAATGAAAGAATGGCTGTTGCAGATATTACATGTGGTTAATTCTCATCCCAAATCAGTGTGATATTAGTATACGAGCAAGTAAAATAATGGGGCTTTGGTTTCCCAAAAGGGGACTCCCAAAAAGGAATCATTGTTTTAAGCTTCCTGACAGTTGCTGATTTCAACGAGGTAGGTAATAATACATACATTTGTTTATATTTAAAAAACACAATGGTTCCCAAGGTTTCATTACAAAGGAACTATAAAATCAATATATACTCTGTTGAATCATTTTAAGTGCTAAAATATAGCACAACACCAGGCCCGAGTCATCATTTAACTTGTTTCTAGAGGAGCTGGAGGTAAACAAACTGGTAGGAGACTGGCACCAGGGCTGGTTCCGTGAATGACACACTGCCTGCTCATGTCATCATTCAAAATAGCAGATTACCAAAACAACACGCATTAACTTCAGATATCCCAGGCATTTGCTCCTTTCTCGTAAGTAGGTTTGCCTATCTTTAAAAGCAGTTCTTTTTGCAAACACTCTAGGGAAATTTAAAGAGGTCTCTGGAAGGAGAGAAATCCCAGGAAGTGTTTGGCCAGCAAGCAGAGGCCAGCCAGATTTTAAATGATTGCCAAAGAAAGCAAACTACCTACACAAAATCTACAAAGTTTGTAAATGAAAATTGACTGCACTCCTCTAACCTTGAACTTCACTTTACAAATTTGAACTTCAAATTACAAACTATACAATCACTATGAAGAAGTTCGTAAAGTCTTTTTTTTTTTTTGAGAGGGGAAAGGAAAAGAAGCATTTTATCATGAAAAGTACCGTAGATACCACTTCTCTTAATATAGCACACATGCTTAGTTTTAGCACAGTGACTATTTGGAGGATTTTTACACTGTACTTCAGTCGTGTTTATTTATAATATGGGTGTGGGGTAAAATATCAAACCACAATGCATTATATACATCCATGTGAACCTTTCCTCTCTGCCCAGAGCTATTTCTGCCGTCCTTCTTAAGCCTAAATTTAAAAAGTGATCTTGTCAAACTGTGATGAATTGTTACCTGAATGGCAAAGAACTTGCTAACTGGAGGTGGCTTCAGTCTTCTTTGAGTATTCTTTTATGTAACAAATTGAATATACTCTTTGTACTTCTGTACCCTCGAAGAAAGGGGAAGGTTTAGCAAAACAGTTGGATTATTCCCAAGAAAGCTTGAATGCATTTTTAAAAACATTTTTTACATGAAATATTGCTCTTAACCTAAAAAAATGAAACAGTATAGTTTGGCACAGCACTCATCTAAAAATAGGTCTTTGGTGAATAAGCTTTCTGCCCATAACACTGAGGCTGTGTGTTGCACTTGTGTGCACATGCCCAGAGTTGCCTGCGTGTTGTACCATGTAGTTGGAAAATAGTAACTTCAGCTAAAAAAAAAAAAAAAAAAAAAAAAGATTTAGAAAGAGGCCTTTGGTGAAATTCCTTAACAAAAACTAAAACTTAAATGTTTGTTGAAATGCTTTCAAGAAATTGTACACTTAGGAAATTATGGTTTTGTTTCATAAATGTGAAACCTCAAAATATATGAGATATAATCTAGAAAAATGAGTCTGGCCTTTTATATCTAAAGTAAAAAAATTTAAAAACGTTTTGCAAAACCTAAATATGTGACTTCTTTTAAAGACTGATTATCTTGTGCTATGCTGGCTCTAACTGGATTTCTAGATCTTCCCTGGCTGTTTTGTTTCTATCTACCTAGGGTTTTACTCTGTAGTGGGATGGTCCTTTTGCTTTGACGAAATTGCGGGGCGGAGAGGAAAGGAACTCAGGCAAATATATGTTGTAGTAGTGGTATGAGGTGTGTGAAGATATATTTTCAGTATAATTTTAGCTATAATGGACTTATATGTTAATTACTTTTCTAGATCATAAAATTATGAAAAGAAATCCTTTATGTAATTTTATTAGTATTTTTCTTTCAAAGGAAATATGAAAATAAACTAAGAGGCAAAAAAATGATTAACAGAGGGCTATGGATATGCCATTATAGGTTTAACAATAGTGTAAGTTGAAACTCTACTCATGTGCCTCACAAAAAAAGCAGACTGTGATTATCTGTAAATGTGCCTTTCCACTTTAATTAGTCCCGTATCTGTGAGTCTACATTCTTCTTGAAATTAAGATACCATTGAATAATAATGTAACTGGCCATAAGACCTCATCAAAAGCAACTGTAAAAGTATCTTCTAGATTTCACTAATTATATTCCCAATCTAGCAAACATACAAATTTGTACTTCTTTGCTCCACAGCTACTAAGCAATAGCTGTTGAAATCATTAAGGTACAAATTGAGGACAGGTGGCACACAGTGGCTCCTGCCTGTAAACCCAGCACTTTGAGAGGCCCAGGCTGGCAGATTGCTTGAGCTCAGGAGTTCGAGACCAGCCTGGGCAACATGGCGAAACCCCATCTTTACAAAAAATACAAAAAATTAGCTGGGCATGGAGGTGTGCACCTGTGGTCCCAGCTACTCGGGAGGCTGAGGTAGGAGGATTGCTCGAGCCTAAGAGGTGGAGGCTGCAGTGAGCCATGATAGCACCATAGCACTCCAGCCAGGGTGACAGCACAAGACCCTGTCTCAAAAAAACCCCAAACCAAAACCAAAACAAAACAAAACCTGAGGATATTCTGAGTTTTTATGATGTCTAGATTCCTAACAACAAATAAGGCATAGGAAACTCTGAGGTAGTTTCCACATGTGATACTGAGTTCTCTCTCTTTTTGGCTAGAAAAAAGTTTTGGTGATGCAAGGGGAAAGGGTTTCATTAAAAATGTGAATGAAAAATAAAAATATCCTGTTGCTTGATCTATATCATTCATTTCCTAGAAATGCTGGTAAATATTTTTATCTTTCTTCTGGGCATTGGCACATTGACACAGTTATAAGTAATCTTTGATCTGCAGATGCATAAAAGATAACATAGTTTGAACATACACTAGTCAAATAAAATTCTTTTGCTTTGGAAAATCCATTTCTGAGAAATCCAATAGATTACATATAGTTTTTTTTCTTTCTTTTTTTTTTTTTTTTTTTTTGAGGTGCAGTCTTACTCCATCACCCAGGCTGGAGTGCAGTGGCATGATCTCGGCTCACTGCAACCTCCGCCTCCCAGGTTCAAGCGATTCTCCTGCCTCAGCCTCCCAAGTAGCTGGCATTACAGGTGTGTACCACCATGTCTGGCTAATTTTTGTATTTTTAGTAGAGACCAGGTTTCCTCAAGTTGACCAGGGTGGTCTCGAACTGCTGACCTCAAATGATCCACCCACCTCGGCCTCCCAAAGTGCTGGGATTACAGATGTGAGCCACCATTACATATAGTTTTAATAGTTGCTCAAATACATACTTAATGTCACAGATAATTCTGATATTCAGAACATGCTGGTTGTTATAATGACACCAGAAAGCAATAGCAAATACTTTATGGTAGTAATGCCTCCGATCTCTTTATTTATTTATTTAATTTTGAGACAAGGTCTTGCTGTGTCACCCAGGCTGGAGTGCAGTGGTGCGATCATAGCTCACTGCAGCCTTGAACTCCTAGGTTCAAGGGATCTTCCCACCTCAGCCTCCCAAGTAGCTGGGACTACAGGCATGTGCCACCACACTCAGCTAATTAAAAAAATTATTTTGCAGAGAAGAGGTTTCACTATATTGCCCAGGCTGGTCTCCTGGACTCAAGCAATTCTCCCGCCTGGGCTTCCCAAAGTGCCAGGATTACAGGTGTGAGTCACCTTGCCTGGCTCTCATCTCTTTAATTAAATATTCATAAACCACTCCCCAGCAGCATTTTCTATACACATTCAGAGGATTTTTTTTGCCCTCAATTTCCTTATTTAAATGGCAAAGGCCAACTTATTGTCAATTATACCTTAAAGTCTTTTTTTATTCATTACTAGGATTTCTCCTTTAATAACACAGGAAGGTTGGGTGCGGTGGCTCACGCCTGTAATCCCAATACTTTGGGAGACCAAGGCAGGAGGATAACTTGAGGCTGTGAGTTCAAGACCAGCCTGGGCAACATAAGTGAGACCCCATCTCTACCAAAAAAAAAAAAAAAAAAAAAACAACAACTTAGCTGGGCATGGTGGCACGTGCCTGTAGTCCCAGCTACTCAGAGTGCTGCAGGGTGAGGATTCCTTGAGCCCAGGAGTTTAAGGCTGCAGTGAGCCATGATGGTCCTACTGCACTCCAGCCTGGGCAACACAGCGAGACCCATCTTGAAAAACAAAGAACAACAACAACAAAAAAGGAAAAAATGTGTCAAACAGATTGAAAGAAAACCTCGACAGGATGACTGTCAAAAAAGCACACAGAGAAGCAGTCCAGTAAAGATAAAAGAAGTGTCAATAATATCAAAATGAGGAATCCACCTGAGGGCCAGCTCAATGTATTGTAATAAAAGAAAGATAACATAAACACAGGTATGCTGGGGGAGCAGGGTTAAAGCAATCGCTTGTAAATAGTTTCAAAGAAAATAAATGGGGAGATTTTGTATAGAAGCAATAGGGAAAGGAAAAATAAACATAATTTGCTACACTTTCTAATTCTAATAAAAATATCTTAAGTGTTGCTGCAGAGGAGGCATATCTGAAGGAGAATTGGCAGGTGGGGAGGCAGCTGGTGCAATAAATTACAACCGGGAGAGAAAGAATTTGGTAAGGTTGAGTAAGAGACGGCTTCTGATTTAACTCGTCAAGAAATTCTCTTTTCAATGGTTAGGGGGCAAGTGATGGTTACTACATACAAGACAAATAATTACAAATAAATTAGATCCCAAAACAAAAAGCAAGCAGGCAAGCAAACAAAGGTAGACAAAAGTTAGAGTCTACACCACCCCAATGAATGGAACTTTTTAACGTCGACTTCCTTTTTTTTTAACCTCATGAGCTGGTTATAAAGCAATGAACTAAATGGCGATGGGCTTGGTCCAATTTCCATAATATAATTTCATGGCTTTTCTAACAGAACTGCTACCCAAAATCATTGTTGGCAGGCTTCAGACAATCAATCCAATGCACCCAATTCCTTTGGGTGATGCGACTTGTTGCTGGGCCACACCATCCAATCACGACCCTCACACAGAACACGGCTCCCAAGCCTGCCTCCCACCCACAAAAAAAAAACAACCCTAACGAAATGTGTCCCTAAGGTGCTCAGGAAGGGTATTCTCATTCTTCTGCGGGTAGCCCCAGATGTCAGTGTCCAGAGGCCTGTCTCTGGCGCTTCCCTTTCTGCAGAGATAAAATTTCTGCCCCCCTGCCTGGGCAGTGGGAGGAGTGTCTTGATTGCTAGGAATTCTGTGGGAAGCAGTGAGTGAAGTAAGGGTCAATGCTGTCTCTAACGACTTTCAATCACTCCCTTCTTGTCCCTGGGTCACGCTGGGCTGTATCTGAGTGCGGTGCCTCTCCAGAATTCCTGGGCTGCCCTCTCTTCTGCATCCCCATATCATGGGTGTCTATATGGGCTCACTCCAGCCTGGAACATCAGTGACCACTTCTTTCTCCTTTCGGCCCACTGGAAGCCCACTGTCTTTTCCACCAATGGCTACCCTCTCATTCTCATTGTTGAGAAATGAAGGACTTTTTATGCCTCCACTACCCGTGTTGTGGGCCTCTCTCAGGAGGCAGCTACCTGTGAATGGGTAGTAAGACATTTTAACCAAAATTCCACAAAGTGATGAGCACTTTCAGGTTCTGTAATGAATACACTGTTTTGGTCACTGATGCTATTATTACTGTGTTTGGCTTCATCACACAGATTTTAAGTTCCCAGGCCAGGATTGTTTATAAGCCTTCATATCTATATGCCAGGAATAGAGTAGCTGAACAAGAAATGAGTGGGCTCATGTTTGAGTCTCAGAAAGAATGTTTTCTGTGCCCCAATGTATGTGCAACTATACCTTTGTTCATTGTCGAGCCTGTGACATCATACTCCACTGTCTCCCTAAAAGCCTATGTCTTCCTCCATGTTTCCTCGTCTCCTGAAGCTCTCCTCCTTTGATGCTGGAGTTCCTCAGGGATTGTGCCTTGATCTCTCTTCCCTTCTCACCCTGCATGTGGACTCCTGTGGCTTCAAGAAGCCTCTCTGTGCTGAGAATTCCATGCTTATATCCCTTAGACTACATGTATGTCTGATACCTGTCTGTATGCTTCTATTTGAACATTCAACCCACCCGTCAAGTTCCCACATTCCCTGCCATCCGTTTTTATTCCTGTGTTCTCCTTCATCAGTGAACATCATCACCTTTTACACAAATCAGAAACCTGGGTTCTGTACTCCACCTCTCCCTATTCCTTGCCTACCACTCCATCCCCACTTCCCAATCCAATCCATCCAAGTCCATCCTTGGCCACCTGCTTCCCTAGACACTCATCACCATTATCCTGGTTCAGGCCACTGTCACCTTGCACCTGCATTATTTCAACATTCTCCTAACTGAACTCCTACCCACAGCATTACCCTACTGATATGTCAACCCAATATGTCACTCTCTGGTATGTTGTAAAGACTTTCATGGTCTGATCTTGGTTTACTTCTCCAGCTTCACATTTTGGCAATACCCATCTCACAGGCACTATCAGTTATGCTTATATCCTCCAATATGGGTGCCTTTCAATTAGCTCTAGATCTTACAAATATTCTTCCCTCTGCCTGAAAGATTATTCCATCCCCACGCCCTCAGCCAACTTTTCTCACTCATTCTTCCTTCAGATATCAGCACAGAAATGACCTCAGAAGTCTCTCCTGACCCTCTCCACCAATGCTGGGTTAGGCCTCCAACGGACACCCACCACCCCTTGCTTCCCCACTGTGGGTTTCCCATACTGAGTGTAATTGCCTGTGTCCTTGTCTGTCACCCCACTCACCTGTGAGCTCAGTGTGGGCTATGGCCATGCCTGCCTGTTCTTCATTTCAGCTTTGTCCCAGGGTCTATGATATGGTGCACAATCCACACACATTTGTTACATGAATACATGGAAGAATAACCAATATTTTATTGCCTTTCATTTTAATTTTGGTTTCCTAATAACTTTTTGTTTCTATCTAAAGAATTTATAATGTAAAGTTTTCAAAAGACAAATATTTTGCAATTATGTATGTGAAAATGTTGGGCCGGGTGTAGTGGCTCTTGCCTATAACTCTAGCACTTTGGTAGGCTGAGGTGGGCAGATCACTTAAGCCCAGGTGTTCAAAACTAAACTGAGCAACATGGCAAAACTTGGTCTCTGCAAAATATATAAAAAGTAGCTGAGTGTGTTGTTATGAGCGTATAGTCCCAGCTACTTGGGAGGCTGAGGTGGGAGGATCACCCGTGCATGGGGGAGTTGAGGCTGCAGTGAGGCAAGATGGTGCCACTGCACTCCAGCCTGGGTGATAGAGTGAGACTCTGTCTCAAAACATAAATAAAATAAAGAAAATGTTGGAAGTTAACTTATTTATTCATTCCAACATGTTTAATTATTTTCTGATATAATTGAACCAAAGAAAAGAGCCACTCCAATCGGTGAAGTCCCAGAAGGGATCAAAGAAGGGATTTTACAGCTTTCTCTGATTACCACCCGTGAGGAGATGGCATAGGTATCAAGGTGATTTGGGGGCTAGGAAATAGGCTTAGCCATCTCTCAGGTGAGGCTTCTAGATGCAGGTATAGATTTCAGCTTATTGGCCAGAGTTTCCTATACTAAACAATATTCCTATTTTCTTTAAAGTTATTTCTTGAAAGGTAAGGAAAATGTAGAGATTCATACCTACTGTGCATTTCTTTACTATCACATAAATTTGCATAAAAGTAATCATCAGTTGTCTTTGAGATTTTCACATCGTGTGTGTGTGTGTGTACGTGTGTGTGTGTGTCTATGTTTGGAGGAGATTTAATTTAAAACTTTTTTTTAATAATTAAAAACCCACTCTTTATTATTAGGCTCCTACATTCTTTATTACTGACTTATTTATACTCAAGGGCTGAAGCTAGTGCCCATGGAGATTGCAGGGGAAAGTTTCTTAAAGGGGTGCTAGGAAGAAACCATTCACCAATTAATTCTGATTATTCATTTTGCTGATGATAATGAAATTAAGAATTGGGCTGGCAAATGTTTTGCTGAGCACTTAGGAAATAGGAGACTGAATGCTCAGAAAAAGATCAGGACATGGTGATCCTGATAAGCTGTATGAAGAAATAGCAAGAGAATGGTTTTTGGAGTCAGATAAGACTATAATTTAAACCCATTACTTTACCCCTGAGCTTCATTCCACTCATCTCTTAAATTGTGGCAGCAATGGTTTATTTTGGTGAGTATTATGGGCTTTAGATATATTGTATGAAAATGCATAGTGCCTTGTAGCCACACAATGAATGGTAGTCTGTGTTGCCTTTTTCAGTCTGATGAGTAAGCAGGAAGATGAGGAGATTGCTTCCGGTGCAATGCACATCAATTTCCCAATAAGCCATTGCACAGGGATGCTCACACTAGCCCTGTGCAAAAAGCAGAAGCATGAAGTGAAATTATAGCAGGTGACATTACTGTATCCAAAAATTCTTGCTGGATAGATCACCATCCACTTGAAGGGCAGTTTCTAGTGCCATGTCAGAGGGCCATGTCATCGGTCCAGTTCTATTCGGTGCTTTTATCATGACCTGGAAAAGGAACACTGGGAGGGATAGGTAACATTTTTTGAAAAATGGCTGGATGTGGTGACTTGTGCTCATAATCCCAGCTATATGGGAAACTGAGGCAGGAGGATCACCTGAAGCCAGGAGTTTGAGACCAGCCTGAGCAACATAGAGAGACCCTGTGTGTGTCTAAAAACAAAACAAAACAGCAAGTCGTGGTGGCTCACGCCTGTAATCCCAGCACTTTGGGATGCCAAGGCGGGCGGATCACGAGGTCAAGAGTTGAGACCATCCTGGCCAATATGGTGAAATCCCTCTCTACTAAAAATACAAAAAATTAGCCGGGCGTGGTGGTGGGCGCCTGTAATCCCAGCTACTTGGGAGGCTGAGGCAGGAATGTTGCTTGAACCTGGGAGGTGGAGGTTGCAGTGAGCCGAGATTGCACCACTATGCTCCAGCCTGGCGACAGAGAGAGACTCCGTCTCAACAAAACCAAAACGAAACAAAAACAAGTCACAATATAAAAATTTGCAACAGGCTAGTAGGAAGAAATCTACAGAAAAAACATAAAATCCCTGCTAATCAGGAAAATCAAATTTAATGAACAATGAGAAAAAGTGTGTGTATGTATTCATGTGTGTATGTGTGCATGTGTGTGTGTGCCTGTGTGTGTGTAGGGCTAGTCTAGATTAAGAAAGAATTGAGACACAACAACCTGATGTAATACGTGATATTGACTGGATCCTGACTCAAAGAACAATGACGACTATAACAGGCATTTTGAGGACAATTAGAGATACTAGAATATAAACAGGGTATTAAATAATGTTACGGAATTATTTTTAATGTTTAAAAGTATGTTGAAAGAGTATCATGGTTATGTATAAGAATATCCATATTTTCTTGGGTAAAATGTCAAAATGTGTGTGTATATATCACTGAGATGTCATAATGTCTGTGTATTTATATATATGAACAACGTAAAAGTGAAACACATGTATGCATATGTATGTGTGTATATGTGTGTTTATAATGAAGATGAAGAAAAATCTCTAGAACTAAAGGACGTGAATTTGTGTAATTAAATGGCCCTCCCAAAAAGCAAACCCACATGAGTGTATGTCATAATGAAGTATTAGAGTACTAGCATTAAAAAAGTCCTACAAATTATTAGAGAGAAAATACAGGTTGCACGCAAAGCATAAAGAATGAGAATGGCATAAGACATCTTAACAGTGCCACAGAAACTAAAAAGTAGTTCTGAGTAAAAATGAACTATTTACCCAGCCAAACCGTTAATTAGGTATAAAGGTAGAGTTAAGACATTTATAGACATACAAGATATTAAGATTACTGAGTCAATTGATATTCAACAGGGGTGCAAATGGAGAAAAAGTCTTTTCAACAAATAGTGGTGGGACAAATGGATAGCCACATGCAAAAGAACATATATATAAGAGCTAAAACCATAATGCTTTTAGAAGAAAATATAGGGTTTATCTTCATGACCTTGAATTTGACAAAGGATTCTTGGACATGACACCAAAAGCACATGCAACAAAAGAAAAATTGGAGTGATATGATTAATATGGTGGAACAGGAGGTCTCCAGCTTGCATCCTCCGTCTCCTTGACACAAACAACAATCTGGCAGCCATCCATGGACAAAAGTGCCTCTGTGGGAGCTCTAGGATCCAGGTAGAAGGTTATGAAACCCTGGTAAAGCCCAAGACGGAGGAGAGGTACTTTAAGAAAGCAGACCTGAACCCCCGTAGTAGGCTTGCTGAATGTGGTCCTAGCTGTACACCAAAGCAGCCCCATCCTCCTACGGAGTTGGCTCCAGCCCCGTTTGGTTGCAGCCTGCAACCAGCTCCATCTGGTAAGGAAACCAGAATAACCCATGCCTGTCTGTGCCCCCAGTAACAGACCTGCTGCCCCTGTCCTGAATGTGGATCCTGAAGCAGGCCTGTGGCCCAGCCCCAGCCCCACTCTACCATCGTCCTGAGTCAGTCCTGCCTGCTCAGGAATGCAGTGACACCTATCTGTGCCCCTGGTAGTAGGCCTGCTGACTTCAGTCCTGACTGGATCCTGATGCAGCCCTGTGGTCCAGCTCCAGATCCATTCAATGGTGGTCTGGAGGCAGGCCTGCCTGCCCAGGGACCATGAGAGCACCCTATACCCATCAGCACTTCTGGTAACAAGACTGCCGACCTTGGTCCTGACTGCAGACCATGAAGCAGCTCTGTGACTCAGCTCCATCTCTGCTCTCCCACAGTCCCAGAGGCACCCATCCAGGTGGAAGCCCACTCAGGGACCCAGCAGTAGCCACAGCTGTCTACCCTGATAACAGGCCTACCATCTGTGGACTCAAGTGCAGACCAAGAAGTGTCTCTGTAGCTTGGCTCCAGCCTTACTTGATCATGGTCCCAGAGTCAGTCCCATGCACCTGGGGATCCAGCAGTAACCCTGCCTGCCTGCCTGCACCCTCCAGTAACAGGTGGATCCAACTGAAGACCTTGCAGCATCCATGTGACCCGACTCCAATCTCACTCAATTACAATCCAGGAAGCAGTCTCATCAGTCTGAGGACATGGCAGGGGGTCTTTACCTGCAGAAATCAGTATGTAAAGACAGGAAGAAGTGTTTGTTCCTTCAAATAAACAGACATCAACACAAGGCTGTATGGATCATGAAGAAGCAGGCAAACATGGCACCATCAAAAGAAACTAATAAAGTTCCAGTAACCGACCCTAAAGAAATGGAGATACATGAACTGTATGACAAATAATTGAGAATAACCATTTTTAAGGAAATTCAGTGAGCTACAAGACAACAAGAATACATAAATCTACAAAAATCAGAAAACCAATTCATAAACAAAATAAGAATTTCAACGAAAGGCTAGAAATCATAAAAAAAGAACTAAACAGAAATTCTAGAGCTGCAGGATGCAGTGAATGAAATGGGAAAAAATGCAACAAAGAGCTTCTGCAGCAGGCTCTATAAAAATGAGAAGAATTTGTGAACTTGAAGACAGGTCAATGAAATTATCCAGTTAGATGATGAAAAGAAAAAAAATGAAAAAAAGTAAGAAAGTCAACAGGATTTACGTGACATTATAAAGGGAAACTATATATATATTATGGATGTCCTAGAAGGAATGAGAGAGAAAAACAGAAACCTTATTTAAATAAATAATGCCTGAAAACTTCCAAAACCTTGCAAGGAATATGGACATCAGGTATATCAAACTCAAAAATCCCCAAAGAGGATCAACCCAAATAAAATTATACCAAAACACATTATAAGTAAATTGGCAAAAGTCAAAGACAAAGAGTAAATTTAGAAAGCAGCAAAAGAAAAGTGACCATCACATACAGCTGCTCCCCTCCTCATAAGCTATCAGCAAATTTTTCTGCATTAACCTTGCAGAACAGGAGAGAATGGGGTGTTACATTCAAAGTGCTGAAAGAATAAAATTGTTAGCCAAGAATTCTACACACAAAAAGTCTGTCCTTTAGAAATGGAGAGATAAAGATTTTCTCAGACAAACAAGAGCTGGGGGTGTTCATCACTGCTAGAATTACCCCCTTAAAAGAAATGATAAAGGAATTCTTCAAGTTGAAACAAAAGGGTGCTAACTAGTAACATGTAAGTATATGAAAATATAAAGCTCACTGGCAAATGTAAGTATATAGTCAAATTCAAAATAGTCTAATAGTGTAATGATGGTATATATTTCACTTTTAAATTTAGTATAAAAGACAAAAGTATTGAAAATAAATATAGGTATAATAACGTATTAATGGATACACAGTATAAAGAGATGTAAATTGTGACATCAATAACAAAATGGGATGAAGGAGAAGTAAAAGTGTAGTTTTCGTATGCACTCTAACTTAAATTGTTATCAACTTAAAATAGATTGTTACAACTATAAAATGTTTATTGTAAGCCTCCTGATAACCAAAACAAAAAAATGTCTAGTTGATACACAAAAGATAAAAAGAAAGGAACCAAAGAATACCACTCCAAAAATTATCCAATTTTTTTTAAACAAAAGACAACAGAAAGACAGGACGAAAGGAACAAAGGAATTAGGCATAAGTCAGAAAAACAATTAACAAAATAACAAAAGCAAATTCTTTCCTATCAATAATTACTTTAATGTAAATGGATTAAATTCTCCAATCAAAAGACATACAGTAGTTGAACAGGATAAAAACTAGGATCCAACACATGCTGCCTACAAGAGACTCACTTCAACTTTAAGGACACACCTTGGCTGAAAATGAAAAGATGGAAAAAAATATTCTATGAAAATGATAACGAAAAGAAAACAGGAGTGGCTATAATTACATCGGACAAAATAGACTTTTAAAAACTGTTACAAGAGACAAAGATGGTCATTATATAATGATAAAAGGGTCAATTCATCAGGAAGATATACCAATTATAAGTATATATTCACCCAACATCCAAGTGCATCTAAATATATAAAGCAAACACTGACAGACCTGAAGGGAGAAACAGACAGCAATACAATAACAGTAGGTGACTTCAATACTGTACTCTTTATAATGGATAGATCATGCAGACAGAAAAGCAGTAACAGCAGAACTAACAACACTAAAGACAAAACGGACCTAACAGACATACACAGACTGCTCCAACCAACAGCAAATGAATACACATTTTCTCAAGTGCACACAGGATCAGATATATCACATGCTAGGTCACAAAACAAATCTTAAAATATTCAAGAAGAGCAAATTCATTTCAAATATCTTTCCTAATCGCAAAGGAATGAAACTAGTAATCAATAACAGTAAAAAAAAAATCACAAATACATGAAAACCAATCAACATGCTCCTGAACAACCATTAGGTCAAAGAGGAAATCAAAGAATGTTTTAAAAATATGAAAATGAAAACAAAATATCTCAAAACTCATGGGATGCAGCAAAAGAAGTATTAACAGGGAAGTTTATAACAAAAAATGCCTTCATCAAAAAAAATAGATATCAGATAAACAACCTAACTTTACATCTCAAAGAAGTAGAAAAAGAAGAACAAACCAAGCAAAGTTAACAGAAGAAAGGAAATAATAAAGATCAGAGCAAAAGTAAATCAAATAGATAAGAGAACCCCCTTCCCCTCAGAAAAAACAACAAAACTAAGACTTGGCTTTTTGAAAAAGAAAATAATATCAATGAACTCTTAGCTAGACTAAGAAAAGAAGAGAGAAATGTAAATAAATAAAACTAGAAATGAAAAAAAGTATTACAATGGATATCTCAGAAATAAAAGTATTATAAGGAGCTATTATGAACGATTATACACCAACAAATTGGAGAATCTAGAAGGAATGGATCAATTCCTAAAAACATACAACCTACCAAAACTGAATCAAGAAGAAATAGAAAGGCTGAATAGACCAATAACAAAAGGAAGTTGAATCAGTCATCAACCCCACTCCCATTCCTAAAAAGGAAAGCCCAGGTCCAGATGACTTCATGGGTAAATTTTATCAAACGTGTAAAGAAAAATTAATTGCAACTTTTCTTGAATTCTTCCAAAAAACAGAAGAAGGAAAACTTCCAAACTCATTTTATGAGTCTAGCATCACCTTAATACCAAAGCCAGATAAAGATACCACAAGAAAGGAAAACTACAGGCCAATATCCTTGATGAACACAGATGTGAAATTCCCCAATAAAATGCTAGAAAACCCAATTCCACAGCACATTAAAAGAATGGTTCAACATACACAAATCAGTCAATGTGATACACCACATTAACAAAATAAAAGAAAACAACAACATGATCATCTCAATAGAGAAAAAACATTTGACAAGTTCAACATTCACTCATGATTAAAACACTCAATAAAATAGGCATAGAAATAACTTATCTCAACACAACAAAGGTAATATATGAAAAGCCCACAGTTAACATCATAATCAAAGAGTGGAAAATGGAAAGATTTCCTGGTACACGGCAAGGATGTTCACTCTCACCACTTCTATTCAACATAGTACTCTAAAACCAAGCTGAAATAATTAAAGAAGAAAAAGAAGCAAAGGCATGAAAATCAGAAAGGGAGAAGTAAAATTATCTCTGTTTGCAGATGACATGATCATATATGTAGAAAACTCTAGGGCCTCAACAAAATAACTGTTGGAATTAATAAAATGAATTCAGTAATGTTGCACGATACAAAATCAACATATAAAAGTCAGTATCATTTCTATACACAACTATTTTTAAAAGAAAATCAAGAAAACAATGTCATTTAAAATAGAACCAAAAAGAATAAAATACTTAGGAATAAACTTAACCAAAGAAGTGAAAGACTTGTACATTGAAAATTATAAAACATTGATGAAGGAAATTAAAGAAGACACACACACACACACACCATATGACAGCCCATGTTCATGGATTGAAAGAATTAATATCATTAAAATGTCTATACCATCTGAAGTGATCTACAGATTGAATGCAATTCCTATGAAAATTCCAATATAATTATTTACAAAAAAAGAAAAACAATCCTAAAATTCATATGGAACCACAAAAGAACCTGAATAGCCAAAACAATCTTGAGCAGAGAACACAGCTGGAAGCATTATATTTTCTGATATATATTACAAAGCAACAGTAATCAAAACAGTATGGTACTGGCATGAAAACAAACACAAAGATCAATGAAACCAAATAGAGAATCCAGAAATAAATCCATGCATCTACATTCAGCTGATCTTTGACAAGGGTGACAAGAACACAAAATGGGAAATAGATTGTCTCCTCCATAAATGGTACTGGGAAAACTGAATATTCACATAGAGAAGAATGAAATTGGACCTTTATCTCACACCACATACAAAAAATAACTCAAAGTAGATTAAAAACATAAACATAAGATCTAAAACTGTGAAATTACTGGAAGAAAACACAGAAGAAAAGCTTCTTGACATTGGTTTGGGCATTGATTTGTTGGATATGACCCCAAAGGAAAGGTAACAAAAACAAAATAGACAAATGGGATTGCATGACATTTCTGCACAGCAAAGGAAACAATCAACAGAACGAAAAAGTAACATTAGGAATGGGAGAAAATATTTGCAAACCATACATCTGATTGGGGTTAACTTCAAAAATATGTAAGAAGCTCAAACAACTCAGTGGCAAAAAGAAAACCCAAATAACCCAATTTTTTAAATGGGCAAAGGACCTGAATAGACATTTATCAACAAAAGACAGACAAGTGGAGAACAGGTATATAAAAAGGTGCTCAAATTCACTACTCATCAGAAAAATGCAAATCAAAGAAATATATGGGCTGGGCATGGTGGCTCACGCCTATAATCCCAGCACTTTGGGAGGCTAAGGAGAGAGAATTGCTTGAGGCCAGGAGTTTTGAGACCAGCCTGAGCAACATAGTGAGACCCTGTCCCTATAAAGAAATAAAGAATTAGCTGGGCATGGTATTGTGTACCTGTAGTTCTAGCTACTTGGGAGGCTGAGGCAGGAAGATTGCTTAAACCCAGGAGTTTGAAGTTACAGTGAGCTATGATCGCACCTCTGCACTCCAGCCTGGGTGACAGAGTAAGACCTATCTCTAAAAATAAAAAACAAAACAAAAGAAAAACCTACACTCTAATATCACCTTAAACCTACTAGAATGACTATTATCAAAAAGGCAAAAGATGACTCGTGTTGGTGAGGATACGGAGAAAAGGGAAGCTTGGCACACTGTTGGGGGAAATGTAAATTGTGGCCATTATGGAAAACAGAATGGAGGTTCCTCAAACAATGAAAAGTAGGGTGTGCATACTGTGTGGGTGTGGTGTGTGTGTGCATGCTGTGTGGTGTGCATGGTGTGACTGTATATGTGTTATGGATTTGTGGTATGTGTGAGGTGTGTATATGATGTGTGTGCATGGTGTAAGCATGGTGTATGTGCATAGTGTATGTACGGTGTGTGTGTGCAGCGTGTGGTGGGTGATCTGTGTGTGGTCTGTGTGTGTACATGGTGTATGGTGTGTTGTGGGTGTGTGGTGTGTTGTGTGAGGTGTGTGGTGTGTGCGGTATGTGTGCACACAGTGTATGTATGGTGTGTGTGTGTGTGTGTGTGTGGTATATTGTTGATGGTACATTAAAGAGAATTAAATCCTAATATTGCAGGGTGGGAAGTCCATAGGTAATGATTAAAAGAGAAAAAAGAAGTACCAGGGTCAGAAGGTTATTTAGAGATTTGAAGGTAAATGCCAACAGGATCAGTTTAAAGAGTCGAAGTGTTTGCCTCTGGGGAGAAGGAAATTCAAGCTTTTTTATAGAACTTTTTGACTCTTTAAACTATGAGCATATATAAAGTTGACTTTTAAAAACTAATTAAAAGAATTTTTAAATGTTCCAAAACAGGTTGGATGAGTACACACTTCATCATGATTGTGGCTGAGGGAGACTGGGTTAGAGAAGAGAGGATGAGCCAGAAAGTTCCAGGGACTGGGGAAAAGTTAAAAGGAGAAAATGTTCACAATTGTTAACTGCAGGTTGTGGGAAAGTTGGTAAGTTGCTTCAATGTTTGCTCCCTCTGTACTTTTTCATATATTTAACATTTCTTAAATTAGCTTAATAATGAACTACGTAATCAGCTATAGAGTTGAGGGTGTGGAGCTTACACAGGACAGCTGAGCTACCGGTTTAAAATGAATGGTATTTTTTAAAATGACTATTTGGAGGATTAACAGAAATAGAACACCCAAACAAGGGTTGATAAGAAAGGACCCCAGGGCTCTGTCTCAGCTCTCCTGGCCACACCTGGAGGACATGGGCCTCTCCAAGGTCTCACGCTTTCAGGAGGTGTTGATGAAGGATATGGAGAGACCTGAAGCTCTGGGCGCTGCGCAGTCTGAGAAGAGAAGCTCCAGGAACGTGGGAGCTGAGTGCAGATACCGGAGGGCTGTCATCCAGCAGAGGGAGTAGGTGACGACTGGCCTAGCGAGGGACCCTTATCAAGGCTACATTTGTAGATCACTTTGTTTGTGTGGGGCACTGCTGTGACTGCATTAAATTTCCACTTACCTAAATCCATTTTTGTGCACTTGTTTTCTACTCTTGTAAGAAACACAACAGCGTCAACCTCAAAACAGTAATCTAGTCAAAGGAGCAATTCCCAAGGCACGACATGTGGGGAATTCAGATTCATCAGCACCCACAGAGACTACAGTGATTATTGATAACGCCAACTTAACGCCTGGCCAGCAGCATGGATCCTGACCTCCACTATTCTTGTGTGTTTACGGAATCACACAAAAGTGCAGTGTTTTCATTTTTGCTGCTTGTTTCACAGGTCTGTATAACCCACTTTTAAAGTCAAAAAGGCCAATAAAAGTATAAACTCAGTACAATGTATAATATACCTATTTCATATACATATGAATAGATATACACTTTTACACATGTATGCATATGTATCATATGCGTCAATTACTAGATGGAATAGAATTTTTTTTTTTTGAGACCGAGTCTCTGTCACCCAGGCTGGAGTGCAGCGGCATGATCTCAGCTCACTACAACCTCCGCCTCCCAGGTTCGAGCGATTCCTCTGCCTCAACCTGCTGAGTAGCTGGGATTACAGGTGCGTGCCACCATGCCCAGCTAATTTTTGTATTTTTAGTAGAGATGGGGTTTCACCATGTTAGTTAGGCTGGTCTCGAACTCCTGACCTAGTGATCTACCCACCTCAGCCTCCCAAAGTGCTGGGATTACAGGCATGAGCCACCATACCCCACCTAGAATTTTTTAAAATTGAAATATTTTCCAGTTTTTAAGCATATCAGCATATCAGCTAACTTTAAAGTGTTAATGTCACTGTACTTATAAATTATTGAAGCTTAAACTTTAGAATAGTGGAGGATAAGTTAAACGTAGCAAAAAGATTTCTCCTTTATTACTTCTTTTTTTAAAAAATATTTTTTTTTTTGGCACAAGCTCTCGCTCTGCTGCCCAGGCTGTAGTGCAGTGGTGCAATCTTGGCTCACTGCAGCCTTGTCCTCCTGGGCTCAATCATCCTCCTACCTCAGCTCCCGAGTAGCTGGGGCTACAGGCGTGCGGCCACCACACCCGGATAATTTTTTTGGTATTTTTTGTAGAGATGAGGTCTTGCCATGTTGCCCAGACTGGTCTTGAACTCCTGTGCTCAAGCAGTTCTCCTGTCTTGGCCTCCCAAAGTGCTGGGATTACAGGAGTGAGGCACTGCACGTGCCCTATTGCTTCTTTAAATAAGGGACAAGAGATATAAAGAGAAAACAGGAAGTACCTTCTCCCTCTGTAACTTATGAGGTAAGCAGCTAATTGATCATATGGTAAAGAAGAACCAAATAAAATTAGTGTCTCAAAATATCAGGAGCACTGCTTCTGTGAAATCAGTTAAAGTACATGTCCATATTAGTCATCCATTGATACACATGCTTATTTTCCTAAGTGAATTCTCCACAATTCTGAAAACCAGTGAAAAGATTATCTCATGTTAGTTCTACACAAAACCAAGCATCGCATGTGACTCTCCATGTTTCAAGGCATACACATCCCTTTCCACCGAGGATCAAAGTGCCCTACACCAAGGATCAAAGTGCCCTATGGGAAGCAACTTCTTGCCTTTTAAACCAGATTCAGTAAACAAAAACTGTTTTGCATAGCTGACAAAAGATCACACTGATTGCACAAAACAAGGTCAGCCTGTGGAAGGAAGCTTACAAGGTCAAATGGGGCACGTTAAGGAGGCGTAACCCATCACATTGACTTTTCTGCTGTTAGAATTTTTTTCTGGTAAAAAATACAGGTATCAGGATTCCCTGTGTCCAGCAGGTGTTAGAACAGAGGAAGACAGAGGGCGGCCTCCTGCAAAACATCTCCTACCCTTGCCAGTTTCCAATCCAGTGTCCAGGGGCTGGAGCATCAGGGCTCCCCGTGCTTGCGCTTGGAAGCAGAAACGCCCTCAAGCCCCAGTTCTCTCAGGGGCTCCGACCCACCTACCTGGGGTTCAGCCCCGGAGCCAGCGGCTGGACCGAACGGGGTCGCGCCCTGGAACACAGGGCGGGCGAAGGAGAAAAGCCCAGCTGGCAGCGCATGGGCGAGCGTCCTGCCTTTCCCAGCGGCCTTGGCCTGGCCATCATGGGCTTGCGGGAGGGGTCCGCCCACCCGCGCCCCCGCCCCGGGCCCCAGCCCCGTGCCTGCGCCTCTGCGGAGCGCAAGCGGCCTTGTTCCTCTCCCGCGGGGGACCCTTCGCGAGCTCCAGAAGCATCAGTGTCCTCCGGGCGGCCGCGGGCCCGCTGCGGCTCCCACCCTGGCGCCCCTGGATTGCTCTCCCCACTCTCAGCCTTACGCCCCACTCCTTCCACCCCGAATTTTGCAGCCTCAGGACTTGAACCATCTGCTGGCTGAAGTCACTTGGGACAAAACCCACGACAGGTTTTGGGAGCTGGACACTCCCTCCCAAGGAGGCGAGGGCGCGCAGCGAAGTGTGGGGTGTGCCGCCCCCTGCCGGCCTGGGTGACGTTCGCTTCTGCTTCCACGCTGCCCAGCAATGTCCAATTGGAACGTTTGGAAGGCAAGGCTGAGAATAAATGCTGTTTGCAAATTCCAGAAAAGAAAAAAAAATGTTGTTCTTCTATTTAGCAAAAGGTTTTCCCAGCCAAGCCAGCACTTCTGTGGGTAGTATTTAAGTCTTAAGTGCGTCAGAGCTGTTGCCTGCAGGCGCTGGTATTGCCCAAGGGGAAGTATCAGGACAATGTCTACGAAAACTCCAGGATCTTGGATGAAGCAACCTTTCCACATTAAGTTTGTAGCATAATCTACCAGGTCTCCTACGATTTACCCGTCATGCAAAAGGAGCAAGTTTCTGCAAAACAGGGCTTTCAAAGAGCCTTTTCAGGAGAAGAAAATGTTGGAAGAGCTAATTTGTTGCCTACTTGTTGTTCACTTTGCAACTAAAACTAATCCCCTTAAAGGTATTTATGGGTATGAATGATAAATAATGAAAAGGATCAAAATAGGAATGTTTCATTCACTTTAACCTGGCCCATGCTGTGCACTTCAGGCCCTAGACTCTGGTTTGAACTCTGTGATTTCTATCATTCCTTGGCTTTGTTTGCTTCATTGCTTGGGCTTTCAGACTGATCAGAGTTCTGTGAATACAGTAGGTGCTCAATAAATCCTTAATCTGGGTACTACCATTGATGCCTGTGGCAGTGACTGCAGATGGGCGGGCTCCTGCAGCAGCGAGGCGTGGGGCTAGAGGGCCTGGCTCTGGCATCCAACCCTGCTCCATCTGCCACAAAAGCTGTGTGACTTTGGGGAAGTTATGAACCTCTGCTGAACTCTCTGTGGGTAAAATGAGAGTAGTAGCAATAGCACCTCCCTCATAGGGTTGGAGTGAGGAGTAAATGAAATAACCTGTGTAAAGAACCTGGTATGGTGCCTAGTGTTGTGTAAACTACTAATTGGACAGGGGAGTAGTATCCAGAATATACAAGGAACTCAAACATCTCAACAGCAAAAAACCAATGCAGTTAAAATACGGGCAAATGATCTGAGCAGACATTTCTCAAAAGAAGTCATACAAATGTCCAACAAATATATGAAAATGTGCTCAATATCACTAATCATCAGCGAAATGGAAATCAAAACCACTATGAGGTATTAGCTCACCCCAGTTAGGATGGCTATTATCAGAAAGACAAAAAATAACACATGCTGGTGAGGATGCAGAAAAAAAGGGAACTTTTCTACACAGTTGGTGGGAATTTAAACTAGTACAATCTCTCTGGAGAACAGTATGGAGGTTCCTCAAAAAACTACAAATAGAAGTACCATATGATCCAGCAATCTCACTACGGGGCATTTATCCAACAGAATGGAAATCATTATATCACAGAGTCATCTGCAGCCCCGGGTTTATTGCAGCTCTGTTCACAATAACCAAGACATGGAATCAACCTAGTTGTCTGACCACACATGAATGGATAAAGAAAATGTGGCATATACATACCATGGAATACTATTCAGCTATAAAAAATAATGAAATCCTATTATTTGCAGCAACATGGATGAAGCTAGAGTACATTATGTTAAACAAGCCAGGAGCAGAAAGATTAACACTGTATGTTCTCACTCATAGGTGGCAGCTAAAAGAAGTTGATCTCAAGAAGTAAAAAGTAAACAGAAGATACTAGAGGCTGAGAAGGGTCCCAGGAAGGGAGGGATAGGGAGAGAGTTGTTAAAGGCTACAAATTACAGCTTGAAAAGAGGAATAGTTCTAGTGTTCTACACCACTGTAGAATGTCAACAGTAGTATAGTGAATAGTGTCAAATAGCTAAAAGGAGGATGTTGAATGTTTCCAACACAAATATATAATAAATGATAAACATTTGAGATGACATATATGCTAATTACCCTGATTTGATCACTATACATTATATGTATTGAAACATCTTATGTACCTTATGAATATGTACAATTATTATTTGTTGACAAGCATTTTTTTTTGAAAGCTTGATCTCATATAATTAGAGTAGAATAGTGGTACCAGAGGACGAGGAAGGTAGTTGGGGAGAGAAGAGAAGTTGGTCCATGGTTTCAAAATTCCAGTTAGACAGAAATAATAAATTCTGGTGTTCTATTACACACTAGGGTGACTATAGCTAATAATAATATATTGTATATTTCAAAATAACTAGAAGAGAAGATTTTGAATTTTCTCACCACAAAGAAAGGATAAATGTTTAAAGTGATAGATATGCTGATTACCCTAATTGATCATTATACAATATATCCATGCACTGAAACATCACACTGAACCCCATAAATATGTACAATTGCTATGTGTCAATTACAAATGAAATGAAACATTTAAAAAAGAGCTTAGTAAAGTGATTAGTATGTAGGCATTAATCAATCAAGTATAGATATTATTATTCCTCCTCCCAGTAGTAAATTGCAGTACAGTGGTTAAAAGTAATCACTTAAGACCTAGATATTTGGGTTAGAACCTGGCTCCACCAATTTCCATTGGCATACTTTGGGCAAATGAGTTTCAATGTCCTGATCTATAAGTGGTAATAATAAAAGAGAAAAATCTGGTGATTGTAGCGTGGTATAGGCAATTCATAGTGCTGTTAGTGCCTGGCACAGATGGAAAACCTACAATAAATCATAGCTAGTACTAAAATAAAAATTGTAAGGATATGTTTAGATTAGCCACCAATGCTTAATTGTCCTCTAAGGTAATAATGTCTTTGTCTAATTTTACCTTTCCACTTATTTTCTTATCAAAATGTTGATAGCTAGGGATTGCCAGAGGGTCTGAACTCAGTGACACCTTCCCACCTGAAGGTCAAGGGCTGTCTGCAGCCCCTGGTGGAACCCTGGTTGCCGACATCAGTCCTTCCGCTTAGAGCAGTTCTTGTGCAGTCTTTGATGCAAGGTAATTTTGGAAGAATTGCTTCAAGGATGTTCAATGGTGACTGCTACCGATTGCAGCCTGGTGGGTAGAAAGGATATTCAGAGAGATCAAATGCAGTGGCCTTAGCTCCCACAGTTACTCATATATTGAAACTTGGTTTTGCAAAGTAGGTCAAATGAAACTAAACAACATTTGCAATAATCCATCACTGCTCACAGACAGGCAAAGGTTCTGGAAAGGACTGGGCTTGAGGTGAGTTACGGGTTGGTGTTCCCTTGCCTGCAGATTCTTTCGAAACAATGTCCCTACAACTTACTGAACTGGAATGTCAACTCAGTGGATTCTTTCTTCTTTGGCCACTCTTAAGGGACTCAGGTACTGTTGGATTCAAAAAAGGGCTTTTACAAATTCAAGCAACCACCTTTGCTTACTGAGCTCTAACACTAAGAACCAGAGGACCTATTCTTTCATAAAGGTCAGATGATCTTTGAAAAGTGTGTGTGTGTGGGGGGGGGGGCATTTTCTCCACAAATGACATTGTCTTTTCCAAGGTGTCTGGGGCTCCCCAAGTTTGTGGCATACCCTGCCTTGGTGGCTTGTCATGGCCTTTGGGTTAAAATGCACAATATTTAGCAAGGCAGTCTCCCCTCCCCCAGTCATCTGGCCCAGTCTAGTTTCTTCTCTCACCCCTCCCCCAGTACTCCTCACCTGCTTATTCCGGTCTAACCAGGTGTCTCAGTCAGCTGGGGCTGCCATCACAAAACACCACACACGGCAGTTGAGGTGGTAGGGTTGGGGTTTAGACACAGACATTTATTTCTCGCGGTTTTGGAAGCTGGAAGTCCAAGAACAAGGTGTCAGCAGATGCGGTGTCTGATGCAATCTCTTTCTTTGCTTTTAGACAGCCCAACTCCTCGCTGCACCCTCACATGGCATCTCCTCGGCTTCTGCGAGGAGGGAAAGGGACGGGGTGTGTGAGTGTATGTGTGTAGATTGCTGTCTTCCTCTTCCGTTACGGGCACTAATCCCATCATAGGAACCACACCCTCATGAGCTGATCTAACCCTCATCACCTCCAAAGGCCCTGCCTCCAAATACTAGCACATCGTGAGTCAGGGCTTCAGCGTATGAATTTTGGGGGGACAAAAACGTTCAGCCCATAACATCAGGGACTGCAAACTCAGTCACCTTCAGGGGCCAGGCAGGTACAATGAATTCTTGATGAGAGAAGGAAAGTTAATATTTCAAACACAGTCGTTTGTCATTGTCACTCCAGCCAGTCACACAAAACCAAGTTCACTGTCCCTCTCTCCTCTAAGTCCCCTCTCCTCCCGCACCCAGATTCAGCCCAGGGCAGCTCACACACTCCATCCCCAGCCAGGTGGGGCCAGGGACCCTCCAACATCCCCAAGCTGGAGATGCTTCCGGCAGGATGATGAGCCAGGAGGCCAAGTAACTGGCCGGCCCCGGGGACAAGGTGCCCACGACGAATGACGACACGAGTAAACCAGGCCACTGCTGATCCTCCTGAGGCTGCAGGGGCCCTGTGTCCCCACCCGTTCCCTTTATGCGTCTCCTTATCGGGTGCAAAACCTCAACTCCCTCCGGTCTCCTGCCCCATCCCGCACCCTTCATGCTGTGAAGATGGAGGCGCCTTGTACTTCCGGGAGGCAAAAGAGCCCTGAGGGAACCTCCTTCCGTTTCTTGCTGTGAGGACAGCGGACTCCCTGTCGCCGCCCAACTCCTTTCTCCTTTCCCCGCAGGACTACCTTTCCTCGAGTGACAGCCCTGCTCTCCTCAGGAACTCACCCCTGGTAACCCCTTCTCTGTCCTCGCCATCTACGGACGCTCTCCTGTGAGCACTGAAATGCCGTCTGCACTCCCGGGGCCTCCAGCTCCTTCTCTTTTGACTTCATCGCAGACACATTTCTTCAGAGTTATCCTAATGTACTGTTTCCATTTTGTCTCCCACTGATTCTTCAGCTGTGACGCTGTGGTCTGAATGTGTCCCTCAAAATTCACGTCTTACAAACTATTTTTTTTTTTTTTGAGACCGGGTCTCACTCTATGGCCCAGGCTGGCATGCAGTGGTGCAATCTTGACTCACTGCAGCCTCGACCTCCTGGTCTCAGGTGATCCTCCCACCTCAGCCTCCCAAATAGCTGGGACTACAGGTGTGTGCTACCACACTCAGCTAATTTTTGTATTTTTGGTAGAGACAGGGTTTCCCCATGTTGCCCAGGCTGGTCTCAAACTCCTGAGCTCAAGGGATCCACTCTCTCAGCCTCCCAAAGTACGGGATTACAGTGTGCCCTGCCTGACATGGTACAAACTTAATCCCTCATGCAACAGTGTTGGGAGACGGGGACTTTTGGTAATTTAGGCTGATTAATGCTGTTTTTAAGTGAGCTTGTGGGAGTGGGTTCAGGCTCTTTCACTGTCCCGCTGTGTGAAGACACAATGTTTATCCTCTTACCCTCTGCCTTCTGCCATGTGAGGACACTGTAATAACTGGCACCTTGATTGGGGGCTTTGAAGCCTCTAAAACTGTGAGATGATACATTTCTGTCCCATATGGGTTACCCAAGCTGTAATCTGGGTAATCCATAAAGGACTGTGACTCTTTGTTACAGCAGCACAAACGGGCTGAGACATATGGCATGGCTTCTCTTCCTACCCCTCTACTGACTGTCATCACCAAGCTCAGTGAGCATTTTTTAGTCCTTATCTTTCTAAAAGGACATCTTGGTAGAGTGGGGACTGGAGCTCTGACAGTGCTGGTGATCAGGGTTGGGGAGTCTCTCCAATTGATTTACAGTTGAGGCTTAGATACTGTTTTAAACTTGGAAGGAACCTCCTAACCATCTAAACACAGCTACTGATTCACCTGGTGGGCCAGAGCAGTCTGCCTGGGAGAAAAATACTGAGAAGCCAGCTCTCTCATGACTATTGAGGTGCAGGGATATAAAATCTTGTACAAATTGGGATGGCTCTGGGCCAAGATCAATTTGTTAGAAACAGCCAGGCTTCCTGAGAGAATGTTCCATTAAGGGGAAAAGGAGGTTGGCTGTGCGTGACCAGGCAGTTCTCTCCCTTGGGGTCTCTCGTGAGCTTACTGTCAGATGGTGGTACAGCCACAGAAGTGGCTCCATACCATATGGCTGGCTGTGCCAAGCACTCAGAGGTCTCCCCCAACACCATGATGTCAGGTTGGAGGGACTACTGGTTTGAGATAGGAGGTGGGACGAATGCCAAAAATCCATGCCAACCCTGCAACCACAGTGCCAAAAAGCTCATCCTTCAGCATGCTTTGTGGAAGGATTGAAGGTTTATGGCAATTAAAGATTGCAACACTTTTGAGTCCCAAAAAATCTGCGTGTGATTACACCCCCGACTGAACATGATGAGGGGCTATCCTCTGAATTAGCAGAAGCCTAACTTGCTGTGTGCAGTGGCAGCCACAGCTTATTGCTCTGGTACCACCTGCCATAAATATACAAGTTGTTTTACCTAACAAAGAGACAGTGATATTGGGGGTTCATGCCACCACTGACCCCACTGGCCAGTGGGAGAAGACTAAGCTCTGGCTCAACCTTCAGTAGACACAGATGTTCTTGAAGCTATTTGGGCAACAAAGTTCAAGGATTTCATCTGTGTCAAGGTGGGAGACGGAGGGATTTTAGGGGGGCAGTTTTGGCAAGCTTTGGAAGGGTATGAATTATAGAACAAGAGTAAATAGAGACCAATGTACAGGGAAGCTAGTAATGCTCAGCCTCAGGGCCCCTTCCTTGCATGAATCCAATGGCAGATTGTATTTTTCAAGATGGCAGCCACATGTACTCCTTCTTACAGGGTGAGGTCCATATGCCTCTTATGGAAAGGTGGGGTCTATGTGTTCTTCCCTAGAATCTGGGCAGGCTTGTGACTCTGATGCGGATGATGCTTGAGGATTTCCAGGCTAGACTATAAAGGAGAATTAGCTTCAGCCCAATTCTCTTGGAAACCAACTGCCATTCTGCTAGGAAGCCCAGACACATGGAAAAGCTCTGAGTGTTTTGGCCAATAGTCCCAGATGAGGCTCCAGCGACAGCTGGGTTCACCCATGAGATGTGAGTGAGGAAGGCTTTGAAATGGTTTCAGCCCTAGCCACCATCCGACTGTATCCTCTTGAGATACTTCAAGGAAGAGAATCACCTGGCCAAGCCCAGCGGACCTCCAGAACTGTGAGATAAATAAAACAATTCTTATTTTAAGCCACTATATTTTGGGATGATTCATCCCATAGCAATATACAACTTCAACAGGGTAGCGATAGACAACTTCAACAGGCCCCTTCTGAGGCTCTGGAAGGGCCCTGGCAATGTGTCCATTTGGTCATTTACTTTGGTCAAGTTTGCAAAAGCAGACATTTTAACTGTAATTGGCTAAAATTCTGATCTCTTTCTGCCCTGACTTGCTCTCCACCTCTTCATGTTGAGTGGTCGAGTGGATGTGGGCATTTTTGGGATCCAGGAAAAGAGGAATTGAGTTGAGTCATTGAGTTTGGGTTCCATGGGATTTATTTATGTGGTATGGAGTCACTTCTGTGTACATTTGTAAAATGGCTTTCAGAATAGTCTTAGCCTCCCTTGTGCTGACTTACGTGGTGGTGTAATGTAAATATGCATGATTGTGTCATATGACATGTGGATTTGCAGGGACATGGATGGAGCTGGAGGCCATTATCCTTAGCAAACTAACACAGGAACAGAAAACCAAATATCACATGTTCTCACTTATAAGTGGGAGCAAAATGATGAGAACACATGGACACATAGAAGGGAACAACACACACTGGGGCCTATTGGCGGGCAGAGTGTGGCAGGAGGGAAAGCATCAGAAAAAATAATTAATGAGTACTAGGCTTAATACTTGGGTGATGAAATCTGTACAACAAACCCCCATGTCAAAAGTTTACATATGTAACAAACTTGGACTTCTACTGCTGAACTTAAAATAAAAGTTAAATAAGAACAATAGAAATGTACAAAGCTAGAAAAAAGTCTAGCTCTAGCTCCTCCCCTCTGGGAATTATTCCAAATCTTACAGCTCCTACACAAAAATAGTTTGGTGGAGGTTTTCCTAAATTTGCCAAGAATCCTGAAAACTTATCTTTCATTATCAGTCATGAGTTATGCAGCTGAAAGACAAATTTAAATCCATCAATAATAAAATACTAGAGGCAAAATGGATTATTATTCTTCTCTCATAGAATATGATATTACAACATTATTGAAAAAGCAACCAAAGAATACATGGCCAAAAATGTTGGGAAAAGAGTATTACAGATATGGGTCAGGAATTTGTTTAATTAAAATATGCTATTTTACTGAGTTTTGTATATATTTGGTTGTAGCAGTAGCCAGAGTAGGCTTTGCCAGGAGCTTGGGCCATTAGATTGTTATTATTACAGTTATGTTGGGCTCATTTGCCCTTACCTGCTGGCACACACGGGGTATATCTCACTTTATTTCTCACAAGTCTTTGGTACCCACCACCACTCCCACCTTTTTACAATTTTCACTTTCGCTGACTTCTCTGGACTTACACTGTCAACTTTCCCCTCTGGCTAACTGTTCTCAGTCATTTCTACAGAATTCTCTTCTTCTGGGTCCTTGTGTTGTTGAGGGATTTACCGCAGGGCTTCTTTTTCTCTCTCTGGGCAAGCTCATCCACCCCCATTGCTTCAATCCCACCTACCTGCTGAAAACTGCAGATTCCACATCTCCAGCTCAGACCTCTTTCCTAGGCTCTAGACCAGGAATTGGCAAAGTTTTTCTGTAAAGCGAAAGATAGCAAATATTTTATCGTCATTGTACCATCTCTGTCACATCTGCTCAACTCTGCTAAGGTAGGGCAAATGTAGCTACAGACAATGGTAAAAGAATGGGTGTGGCTGTAAATAAAACTTTATTTTTTAAAATAGGGGCTGCCCCATGGGCTGTAGTTTGCCAACCCCCTCCTCTACATCAGGATATCCAACACCTTTATGGAAATTTCCACTTGGGATTTCACAAGTTCCCAAACATAACATTGTCCCCAGAGAAATTCATCTTATTTGCTCCTATGTGTTCCTTCTTAATGAATGATGTCACTATCCACCAGATGTTCAAGACAGAAATTCAGGCAGCATCCTTGATTTCATTCCCCACTTCAATCAGTCACAAAATCATGTCAATTCTACTTTCTCAACATCCCCCTAATCCATTCCCTTTTCTCTTTCTCCACTGCCTTCCTTCAGCCCCTTTCATCTCTCACCTCCTACCCTGTGCTTCTTCTAATCTCCTCATCATGCTACAATCAGAGGGATCAGGCCACCCTTGGATTTTAAAAGTCTTCAGTAACAGTAGTCCCTGCCTTTTTTTGGTTGAAGTCTAAGCTTCTTGAAACAGAGTGAGAGGCCTGGACAGTTGGACCATTTTCCCATATTAGCCAAATTCCTCTGATCTGTCTGCACCTCCTGCCTCTGGGACCCTGCATATGTATTTCTTCTGCTTAGGGAATGTGTAGCTGCTGATCAGTAACTATCTGAGGCCAGTATCCCATGGGCAGTAAGAAGAATTTACCAAGACAGTTGTAGATAAAGAAAGGCAGATTTATTAAAGAAAGTATAAAAATATGTTGCAAGGGAGCAACGGGCAGGCCAGCAAGAGAGGAGCTGACTGCCAAGAGACAAAGGCTTGCTGGGGGTTTTATAGGATGTTGCTTGTATTGCGTGCTGAAGAGGGCTTTGTGCAGTACTGTGCTGAAGAGGGCTTTGTGTGGTACTGACAACGCCAAGGTTGCAGTGGGATAACCTGCATTTTTCTATCAGCTGAGGGCCTGGTGATAGCTGGGCACAGGAAGATTGTGAGTTATTTGTGCAGGAGGGCTATGGTCCTGGACCATGAAGGAAGGCAGACTTACAGCTCATCTGCTTACTCTTTCTGTTTTCCCTCAGTCCCACCAGCCTGACTCCTTTTGCCTAATTAGGACTCCTCGGAATTCTTCTCCTTTCTCATCCCTCTGGCTGTCTTCTAAGTTTCAACTTGGGTGTCACTTCCTCTGGGAAGTGTCTCCTCACCTCTAAAGACTGTCTCTCTGTGCACAACTATAACAAATGGGACCTGGGCCACTTCACTTTTACAATTCCAGTTTACAGACCTGCATTGCCCCAAACCCATGAGACCAAAAACTCCCTGAGGGCAGAGGGGGCCCCTTATTTACTCTTGATTCCCCAGCACCCAGCACAGCACTAAACACTGTACCCACTGAAATAATATCTGAAGGATGAGCGTTTATAGCAAAAGTGGTTTCCACTGACATTCCCTTCTCTCCTCCCCAGCTATGGATTGCAGCACCCAGGAGCTGGTCAGGCTGCAGGAGGAGAGGAGGAAGGCGAAGTCATTACTCAGGGCCTCTGTTTTGCTGATGTGTGGAGATGGTGGGTCTCCCTTGAATACCTGGGAGGCAGGAGCAGGCATGGACTCCTCCAGTCTCTGGGTTCTGGACTCTGGGGGGCTGCTGCTCTCTGGCACCCATCAGTCCTTAACCATCTGGCCTCCAGCCAGGGAAGGAGTGTGGTGGTGGAGAGGCCTCTCTGTCCCACCCATGTGTCCTCTGAGCTCACGAGAATCAGCCGAAGGCTGAGTTCCACACCCTGAGTTAGAAGTTCTTTTACTGTGGACTCTCCCTGGACATTGGGAATTCTCTTAACTAGTATGGAAGCAGTTACATCATCCTAGGTCCTCCAAAAATAGGCACATGTATCTAAATATAGGCACATATAAATGCAAATACATACATATACACATACATCCAAATACATAATTTTTGTTTTGAAATAATTATAAACACAAGGAGTTATAAATATAGTACTGAGAGGTCCCTGTACCTGTTGCCCCACCTTCCCCAGGCAATATCTTATGTAACTATAGTTCATGATTAAAACCAGGAAGTTGCCATTGGCACAATGTCAGAAACTAGTCCTGAGACCTTGCTCAGATTTCATCATTTTTGTGTGTGCACTCATTTGCTTTTCTGAAAAGATTTAAATGTTTTCTGCATGACTGGTCTCCTCCACATAGTGTGAGATGGGATTTTTTTCTGAATGAGCTGAGAGATCAGTGAATGTGAGAGATGGGAAGGATGATTGGGTGCATCTCTGTTTTATTCATGGTGGGTCTGGAACTTAGGGCAGAAGGACCCTGGTTTCTCCTCTGGTGAGTCCTGGTGCCGCCTCAGTGCAGGCTACTAAGTTATCTGGGACTGAGTATCTTCTTCTCTGCTAATATTTGTCTTAAGCATGTAACACGTCTGATGAGGAGATGGCCAATGAAAATTATTTTTTTCAAAGATGAATAGGTATCTAGACTTTTTCAAGCACAACTCAATTAAAAATATATCACTTCACTGAGCCTCAAATTAGTCAGGGCTCACTTAAAAAGTGTCCTCTAGTGCCAGGCAAAGTGCCTCACACCTGGGATCCCAGCACTTTGGAAGGCTGAGGTGGGAGGATACCTCAAGCCTGGGAGTTCAAGACCAGCCTGGATTACATGGCAAAACACTGTCTCTACAGAAAATAAACACACACACACACACACACACACACACACACACACACACACACACACACACACAGCTGGGTATGGTGGCATGTGCCTGTGGTCCCAGCTATTCTGGAGTCTGAAGTGGGAGGATCACTTGAGCCCAGGAGGTTAAGGCTGCAGTGAGCTGTGTTTGTGCCACTGCACTCCAGCATGGGTGACAAAGACAGCCTGGGTGACAAACACTCCAGCATGGGTGACAAAGACAGCCTGGGTGACAAACACTCCAGCATGGGTGACAAAGACAGCCTGGGTGACAAAGCCAGCCCATCTCCAAAAAAAAAAAAAAAGAGAAAGAAAAAGAAAGTGTCCCCTAGTGGATTACATTTTAACCACTGTGCTAACTGAGCCAGCTATCTCTTTACCAGACATGAGAGCTGATAAGCGTCTCATCACATGGCCCCAGGGACTGATGAACAAAGGCTAATATGTGGAAAAGGGCAACTAAAGAAAGAAGGGCCACCTCCAGGTTAATTAGTACAAGTCTCCTCGCTGATATGCCCTAATACACTGAAACAGCCATAAAAACAATCTGCACATTGGCATTGAGGACACAGATAAACTTGCATAAATCCCTTATGGTGTCAGAGGGATGCTTTGTATGAGTCCTTAATAGATTAATTAATAGGTTAATTAAGTTCTTGCTGTTTTCATTTGGAAATGATACTGTCCTCTTGGGGCTATTCAGAGATGTTCATGGTGATGAAACGAGCTGGCCTGGAATGGCAGTTCCCAGGTAGCAGAGCCTGGGCTTGAGGAAGGTGGAACGTGGGTGTGGCAAGGAGCTGGCAGGTGCAAATGTCAGGCCAGCAATGCAGTCCAGCCTGCACGGACGTGCGTCACCTAGGAAGTTGTGACCTGGCTGCAGTTTCCACTTCAGGTGCGACAGAAGGGTGAACTCCACCTCACCTCCTGGTGAGGTTGACCTTTCCTTGTATTTATGACTCTTTCTTTCTTCTTTCTTCCTTCCTTTCTTTCTTTCTTTCTTTCTTTCTTTCTTTCTTTCTTTCTTTCTTTCTTTCTTTCTTTCTTTCCTTTCTTTCTTCCTTCCTTTCTTTCTCTTCTTTCTTCCTTCCTTTCTTCTTTCTTTCTCTTCTTTCTTTCTTTCTTCTTTCTTTCTTTCTCTCTCCTTCCTTCCTTCATTCCTTCCTTTCTTCATCTTTCTTTTCTTCTCTTTCTTTCTTTCTCTCTCTCTCTCCTTCCTTCCTTCCTTCTTTCTTTTTTTCCAGGTCTTGCTCTGTCACTCAGGCTGTAGTGCAGTGGCACAATTTTGGCTCACTGCAACCTCCATCTCCTAGGTTCAAGTGATTCTCTTGCCTCAGCCTCCTGCGTAGCTGGGATTACAGGTGTGTGCCACCATACCTGGCTAATTTTTGTATTTTAATAGAGATGGGGTTTTGTCATGTTGGCCAGGCTGGTCTCAAACTCCTGACCTGAGGTGATCTATCTGTCTCCGCCTCCCAAAGTGCTGGGATTACAGGCATGAGCCTCCACGCCCAGCAGTGTTTATGACTTTCTTTGTAAATACTTGCAAGGAATGTACCATTTTAATGTTGTAAGAGACATCCATTCTTTCATAACAGGACCTCAGTGAATCTTGATTGCAGGCCTCATGCTGGGCAGAGCTAAGGAAATTCAATTTGTCTCCAATCTTATTTGAATATTCTTATGCCTCCTACAAGTGCAGCAGCAGAATCTCCACAAATCTGGTGCGTGAAAGTTTCCTGTAGTTTCTTTAGGGTAGAGAGGCTGGGGAAGGGTAGAGACTGATTTGTACTTTTTAGATGTATAGTTGATCCTTGAACAACACAGATCTGAAATGTTTTGGAGTTTTGTTGCAATTTGAAAAATACTCAAAGACAAACCATGTAGCTAGACATATTGAAAAAATAAAGAGAAAGTTATGTATGTCATGAATGCATAAAGTGTATTTAGATACTTAGTCTATCATTTACTACCATTAAATATACACAAAACTATTACAAAAAGTTAAAAGTAATCAAAACTTATGCACACACTCACAGATCATACGCTGTGCTATTCTCAGTCGAGAGAAGTGTAAACAAACATAAAGATGAAGGATTAAATTGTAACTGCATTGGCTGGGTACAGTGGCTTACGCCTGTAATCCCAGCACTTTGAGGGGCTGAGGCAGGTGGATCACTTGAGGTCAGGTGCTTGAGACCAGCATAGCCAACATGGTGAAACCCCATCTCTACTAAAAATACAAACATTTGCTGGACGTGGTGATAAGTGCTTGTAATCCCAGCTACTCCAGAGGTTGAGGCAGGAGAATTGCTTGAACCCAGGAGGCAGAGGTTGCAGTGAGCTGAGATTGCGCCACTATACTCCAGCCTGGGCGACAGAGCTGGACTCTGTCTAAAAAAAAAAAAAAAAAAATTGTAACTGCATAAACTTAACCATAGTGCACACTGCACCTCTGTAATAATTTCGTAGCCTCCTCCTGTTGCTGTTGCAATGAGCTCAGGTGTTGCGAGTATCCACCTAAAACGTTCTGTGATGCTGAACATCCCGACTTGAGCAGTTTGTCTCAAGTGAATTGTGCACCACGGTAAAAAGTGCCCTCTCCCTGTTGGCATGTATTTTTCCTCCTGTTTTGTGCAGTACTGTAAACCTTGAATAACACCATGGGATCCATATGAAGTGGCACTAGTGATGCTGGAAGTGCTCCCAAGAAGCAGAGAAAAGTCGTGACATTACAAGAGAAAGTTGAATTGCTTGATACGTACTGGAGGCAGGTCTGCAGCTGGGGTTGCTTCCATTTCAGACAGACAATTCATCTTGTAAACAGGCAGTGTAAACTTAATGTACAGATAAATACAGAACA
The DNA here is from genome assembly GCF_000001405.40 of Homo sapiens. Lineage (NCBI taxonomy): Eukaryota > Metazoa > Chordata > Mammalia > Primates > Hominidae > Homo > Homo sapiens. The sequence goes on along the minus strand of NC_000006.12, from coordinate 160,916,468 downwards.
GTACTGTAGATGTATTTTCTCTTCCTTATGATTTTCTTACAAACGTTTCCTTTTCTCTAGCTTACTTTATTGTAAGAATACAGTATATCTTACATATAACATACAAAATACATGTTATTAACTGTTGCTGGTCAACAGCAGGCTGTTAGTAGTTAAGTTTTTGAGAGTCAGAGTTATACCTGGATTTTCTACTGTGTATGGTCAGTGTGCCAACCCCCGAAATTGATCAAGGGTCAACTGTAATCCTAAAAGAATCTAATACAATATTGTACACAGTAAGTGGTCAATAAATAAGGAATTGAACTAATAAGAATACATAAATCTCAGAATATGTGCAACCTGATCGTAGTACACAGAGATATCTCTATATATGTATCTCTTTTCTCAGTTCATGCCGTTCTTTCAGGTAGGAAAGCGCCTTATTTTGAATTAGTTGTCTTTAGAGCAAAAATCCCTCTAAGAGTGCAGTGTGGTTTCCTATGCACAATCTGGAATAGTCCATTGTTTCATGCCTACCCTGGACATGAAGGGCCATGCCATAGCGGAAGTTTCTATGCACCCACACCTGTCTATACCTGAGCAACACATTCCTCTTTGCTGCTCTCTTACAGGCTACAGAGTGCGGTGGCGCCAGCACAGAGCTCTGCTCAACGTCCCTCTGTGCTTTCACGATGCTGATGGATTATGAAGGTAGGGAAGAATGTACAGCCAGGAGGCCATTGAGAGGGCAACTAATTTATAAAATCACATTTGTAGAATTGAGTGCATCCAACAACTACCAGGGGAAAGTTGGGCAAAAGCTATACCAACACCACCCAAGTCAAAACCAAAATGACAAAAAAAAAAAAAAAAAGAAAAAGAAAATAATGTGGATATAGAATTTCTGATAACATCATTCCTGAGGTGCCTTATCCAGGGAACTGCTAAAATAATATTTTAAGTTGAAATGAACACATACTAGAAACATTATATGTTAGTTGAGTCTGTTTTTTTTTTTCCCAAAGTACTTTCTCAAACACACCAACCTTAGCCCTCTAAGAAATACATCACATTAAAAATAAAACGTCTGCCCACTGCTGGTTTCTCAACTTGCATCCACCTTCTGTCCCCTTTAATGAACTGGACCACGAGGTGAGTCAGAAAGGATAAAGGGAGTGGTAAGAATTTGAGGAGAGAAGAGAGTGAGGCTAAAACAGGAAATCAGGAAAAGCGATTAGGTCGCCCCATCCCTCACCTGGGGCCGCTCTCTTGTTGCCCAGCGTGGTTTCTTCTTGAGGGTTCTGCATGGTTCCTCAATCCCAGGGAATTCCGCAGGACGTTCCACCCAAGACCACTGGGCTCCCACCTCTACTCTTTTGCCAGTTAATGAATAGGAAGGAATTTCACTGCCTGGAAAGAGGAATGATGCTTTCTGGTCCTTATTTCACACCTAAAATAGAAAGGTCAATTGATTTATTCCTAAATATCTTTGAACACTAAAATAGAAGTTTTAAAGCATATATACTACCTGGTTGCTCTAGCCTTACACCAGGGAAAAGTAAAGATTCAACAATTAAAATTAAGATGGACACTTCCCACTTAATGCTACCACTCTTGCTTTATTTTGTGAGAATGAGAATATAATAATGCACCATAAAGTCATTTGGGGGAAAGATTAATATTTTATAACAATGTATAATTACAGAAAACATGAGTTTTCTGGGAATAAAGAAATTTTGAAGATAATAAAATATTTTCACTTATGTTATAATTTCGACACAGTTTGGTATTGGAGGTGGATATGCTAACGTGTACACATAGCTTAAGTTTGCAACCTAAGACCTGAATGGGTTGTGTCTACCAGCTGCACCCCTGGTTAGGCACAAAACCTGTGGAAGGCCTCAGCTCCCTCCTTGTACACCAGGGATGAGAACAGCACTGCCTGTTCGGAAGCTTGAAATAACAAACAAATGTGGCATCACTCATTTGTGTCATGTTACTCTATATAAAGGTATGTTTTTTCCCTCAGGCTTCAAATAAGATTCTACTTTTTATCTTTGATTATGGACAATTTAACTATAATGTGTCAAATAAATCATAGTTCTTCTTTTTAAAATTCTATATCTGATCCACTGAGCTTCTTGACTATGTGAATTTGTCATTCTCTCCATGGTTAGAAAGTCCTCAGCCATCACTGCTTCAAGTACTTTTTCTGTTCCAATATCTCTTTCCTCTCCTCTGTGACTTGCTTTAAACATATACTAAATGTTTTGATATTTTCATAGATGTCCTTAAAGCTCTGTTTATTTATCTTCTCAGGCTTTGTGTGTGTGTGCTGTGGTTTGCACTAACCTAATGTTTTCTAGCTAGCTTTATCTTTAAGGCCATCTAGTGATTTTTCTCATTACAGAGATGCCTTTTTTTTAGTTCTTTACTTTTGATTTGGCCCTTTTATAATTTTTCTTTCTCTTGATATTGTTCATTTATTCATTTCTTGTTCATGTTTGCTTTAAATCTTTGAACACAATTATTATACATACATTTTAAGTCTCCTTGCCAATTCCATTATTTTTATCATTTCTGGGTCTATTCGTGTTGACTGGTTTTTCTCCTGGTTATGGATCACACTAATGCTTTTTGTATGTCTAGCAAATTTTTAAATTTATATCACACATTGTGGATACCACATAAATGAGCAATTTGATTTTGTTGTTTACCTCTAAACAGGTTTTCTTCTGGCGGGCAACTAATTTATTGTGAGATCACTTGGAAAGTTAGCTTGAAGAATGGGTCAGCTAAGAGAAATTTTAGTTGACTATTGTCCCTCTTATGGCTAACATGATAGAAATACGCTTTTGGATAGTGCAGTAAAATCCACCGGTGCCAGTGTGGGGTCATAGAGGACCAAGACTGACATGTTCTTCCTGTGATATGGTGAAAAATTGCCTCAATAGCTCTGTTCATCACCTTGGTAGCACTCCTGGACTGCAGGACTTTGCTCAGCTGGTGCTGAAATTTAAAAAGAAGAAATCAAGCTCAGTATTGTCTACAAAAAAAGAAATGTGAAAAAATTTATGACACATGAAGCAGAATAATCTGAGGATTAGCACTTTTCACGCTTCTATATTAGCACACAAATCAAAATGTAAAATAAAAAAACCAATAGATGCAAAGGATTCTAGAAATTTAGTAAGTTGTCATAAATATTTCAATTAAAATCAGGGAATGAAAAACATATTAGAGTACCTATAATTCAAAATTGCACTCATGTGCATGCTCTTTTGCATAGACCTCCTCTGGGTGTTCATGAGAAAAAGGCAGGAGACCAGTGTGGCATGCATCAGGCTGTACAGGCTGTAGGTGGTGAGACTGGCTGTCAGTGGGGGGCAGACATGAAACCCTGGCCTACTTGCCTAGACCACTGCTCCTCCAAAGCCAAAGCCTTCAGCTTCTGGGGGATGGGGCAGGAAATGGTCCTGCATCTAGGACTTGCAGGCAAACACACATTGTCTCTCAGTGAGAGGTACAGGCCCAAATTTTATTCCCTTGGAGGAGAGACAGGGAATCTTGGGCCCAGGATCCTGCATTGCAACAAAGCAGATGTCCACTACTTTTCTTCTCAAAGACTAACACAGATACAACTTCTGTGAAAAGGCGGGGCAAGAATACCGAGAAATTCCTCCCCTGAAAGCCTAGGTGTGCAGGGCCTGCCTAAGATGGAGGCAGGCTAAGAAGATGGAACATTTGCTGGGTATGCACTACTATGTAGACCCAAGACAATGAGGAACAAAGGAGGTAGTGTTAGGTTTCTCAAGGATGACAGGCTCAGAAACTGCATTCCTCCGAATCGGCAAAGCTGAAGATTGCAACGAATGCTGCCCAGTTGAAGAAATGCCAGGAACGGCTTATGATGGGCTTGGTTAATCATCACAACTTTGGCAGGAGGTTAGAATATCCATTTTGGCTAGGACACTGAAATGATCTGTTGAATAACCAGGGGAGTTGTAAGTCCAGCGCCCTGGAGGGTCTGCATGCTTCCTAATGACACCACCCTCTCACGGGGTGCCAAACATCACAGCTCTGGTTCTCCCAGAGAAGGCGCTGAGGCTTCCTTCCCATTGGCTGACCCTGAGTACACATTCGACTTCCCGTGCCGCTTGGAAGTCTTCTGTATCACTAAGATTTTGCAACTTTTTTCATCCCAATGTCCGAGGGTGTGATTGTCTGGCCACATACTTCTTACCTGGTTCAAAAGGAGTCTCTGTGCTTGGAATTAGGACCACAGTGGGAGTCATGAGGACACTTGATTCTGTCACCAGGCATTGCATCAGGCTGCAGTACTCCCACCTGACACTGGGACCCATGGTGTAACTCCAAGGGTGAATCTCAGCATCTGGATTCTTGCAGTTGTTCCTGGTCAGGCTGCTGCAAATTCCAAAACAATACAGGTCACAAGAGTTGGGAGAAGATACAAGGGCATCTGGCACCCTCTATGTTTTGCTGTAACAAAATGTTAACAAGCGACTTTGAAATATTCTCACTAAAGGTCCCATAACATGCACAAACAATCCTCAACTTCAAAACAACTGTGAACATTTCAAAGACAGATTATCATTCTTATTATAACACATCCAAAGTCGTCTATGCTCCAGAAGAAAACTGAGAGAGAACATCAATGTGTAAAAGAAAGGATCAGAATACCCTCTTTCCACCTTCTGCCAAATACATTCCTCCAGATTAACCGAGAAAGACTTTGAGGTGTGTCTTGTATTGTTTTATGCATATACAAATGTACCTCCTTCTAGCTCTCTGTGTCTCTCTACAGGACTATGTGATCTATTAGGCATCTAGTTTGCTGATTTGTTGTTCTCCTAAGGAATTGGTCCATATTATCTATGTTCTTGAGTTGATAACATACAGTTGTTCTCAATATCTTCTCAGCTTTCAGACCTGGAGGATGCTACAGCAATGGTGCCTCTCCTGTTACTCCTAATGGCGATGGTTGTGCTCCCTCCTGGGTCTGTCATCTATTTAGCCAGATTTTGGACAATCATATGGATCTTTTCAAAGAACCAACTTTCTGTTTCATGGATTTACTCCCTTGATGGTCTATTTTCTTGTCCACTGGATGTAATTAGTTTGGATTATTTCCTTCCATTCACTTTCCTTGAATCTTATTTGCTTTTCCTTGTCTAGATACTTAAGCTGTGATCTTAGATCAACAACTGTCAAGTGTTTGCTCACAGGACCCCTTGAGACTCTTACGAAGTATCAGGGATCCTAAGGAGCTTTCATTTTTCAATATACATGACGAGTATTTATTGCATTAGAAACCAAAACTGGGGCTGGATGTGGTGGCTCACACCTGTAATCCCAGCACTTTGGGAGGCCGAGGTGGGTGGATCATGAGGTCAGGAGATCAAGAACATCCTGGCTAACACAGTGAAATTGGGTCTCTACTAAAAATACAAAAAATTAGCCGGGCATGGTGGTGGGCACCTGTAGTCCCAGCTACTCGGGAGGCTGAGGCAGGAGAATGGCATGAACTCGGGAGGCAGAGCTTGCAATGAGCCGAGATCATGCCACTGCACTCCAGCCTGGGCGACAGAGCGAGACTCCATCTCTTAAAAAAAAAAAAAAAAAAAAAAAAAAAAAACCCAAAACTGGGCTGGGTGTGGTGGCTCATGCCTGTAATCCCAGCACTTTGGGAGGCTGAGGCGGGTGGATCATGAGGTCAGGAGATGGAGACTATCCTGGCTAACATGGTGAAACCCCATCTCTACTAAAAATACAGAAAATTAGCCAGGCATGGTGGCACGTGCCTGTAGTCCCAGCTACTCGGAGGCTGAGGCAGGAAAATCGCTTGAACTGGGGAGGTGGAGGCTGCATTGAGCTGAGATCATGCCACTGCACTCCAGCCTGGGCAACAGAGTGAGACTCTGTCTCAAAAAAAAAAAAGAAAGAAACCAAAACTGAAAATTCTTTAACACAAAAAACTGATAATCACCCATTTTCTTAGCCATCAGAGAGATGATGCCATTACATATTATGGAGCCACTGGAAAACTCCACTGTACCACTGCTAGAATATGAAAGTGAAAAGGGCCAATAAATCTTCGTTTTCTCAATGTAAAGTGTTTTAGCCTTATTGACTCTCTCTGAAGGTATCTCAAGGGTCCTCAGGTTTCTCCAGACCACACTTTGAGAACTGCAGTCTGAAATCATTGATTTTTACATGTCTGTTTTCTCCTAAGAGCATCTAACATTACAGAAAACCCTAAAAACATTCATTGCATCCTACAAGTTTGGATAGATTGTGTTCTTTTCTGATCCAGTTCACAGCTTTTCTAAATTCCTTGGTGATTTCTTCTATGTCTCAATGAATATTTTGAAATGTGCCTTTTCACGTCCAATTCTTTGAGAAGTCGGCAAACTTTTCCTTATTCATACATTACTTCATTCTGTTGTGTTCAGAAAACACACTCTTTAATTCGTTTAAGTCTATGGAGACTTGCTGAAAGGCCACATGTAAGGTATACCTCAGCGAATGCTCCATGCACACTTGAATGTGTATTCTGCAGTTTGGCATAGTGTTTAGTAGGTCAACATTTTGTGAAGGGGATAATAGAATTTTGCCTGATTTTTTGCATATTTGTTCTAGTCTATTGTGTTTGGGGAAGATTTATAACTACAGTGAAAGAGAAGCAAGGACACCTCTAACTCCGATTATTGGCTTATCTATTTCTCTCTTGAGTTCTGTCAGTCATTGCTTCATATATCAGATGGGCTCTTATTCGGGTACAACACATTTAGCCTTGGTACGTCTTCATGGATGAACCCTTTTCACTCATGAAATGTCCTTCTGATCTTGGTCTTATTTCTTGTCCTGAAATCTCCTTTGTCTGATCTTGACATTGCCACTCCAGCTTTCCTCTGCTTCACGTGTTCCAGGTATAGCATTTCCATACTTTGGTTTTCCATCCAGCTTTTCCATTTAAAGGGCTCTGATTGTAAAAGAACCTCAGCGGGCTTTGCTTTTTACTCTACTCAACTATCTCTGCCTTTCATATGCAGTGTGTCATCCTTTTTCATGGAATTCACTTAGGAGGGGGCTGAGTTTCAGTCGGTCAGGATGCTATGCATTTTCTGCCTGGACCTCATCTTCTTTATTCTGTACTCTTCCTTTCGTTCCTTCTTTTGGATAATGGAATAGTCTAATTATTATATATTCCTCTATGTTTTAATGCTGGTGGTGGCTCTAGGACTCACAGTATCCCTCTCGGACCTACTGCATTCAACCACACATTAATATTACCGAACATCATGGATAACATCACAAACATACAACGGTATAGTTCCATGGATTCCCAACATTATTGATGCTACTGTTTTCAAACTTTTACCTTTACATATGTTAAAAAAATACATTGCTATCATTTTGCTTCAATGAGTCGATCTGTCAAAGACATTAATAAATTAGATGAATATAATCTTTTACATTGAACTTGACATTTGCGATTTCCAGGCTTCTTCATTACATAGTATGGATTAAGGTTTTTACCTGGTATTATTTTCCTTCTACCTAAATAGCTTTCTTTAAGACCTTTTCTTTTTTTTTTCTTTTTTGAAACAGAGTCTCGCTCTGTCACCCAGGCTGGAGTGCAGTGCTGCGATCTCAGCTCACTGTAGCCTCTGCCTCCCGGGTTCCAGTGATTCTCCTGCCTCAGCCTCCTGGGTAGCTGGGATTACAGGCATGTGTCACCACGCCTGACTAATTTTTTGTATTTTTAGTAGAGATGGGGTTCCACCAGCCTGGCCAGGCTGGTCTGGAACTCTTGACCTCAGGCGATCTGCCCACCTCGACCTCTCAAAATGCTAGGATTACAGGCGTGAGCTATCATGCCTGACTTTAACACCTTTTTTTTTCTTTTTTTCTGTTGAAAGGGAGTCTCCCTTTGTTGCCCATGCTGGAGTACAGTGGTGTGATCTTGGCTCACTGCAACCTCCGCCTCCAGGGTTTAAGCAATTCTCCTCCCTCAGCCTCCCAAGTAGCTGGGATTACAGGCATGCGCCACCACACCCAGCTAATTTTTTTGTATTTTTAGTAGAGATTGGGTTTTGCCCTGTTGGCCAGGCTGGTCTTGAACTCCTGACCTTAAGGGATCTACCTGCCTTGGCCTCCCAAAGTGCTAGGATTACAGGCATGAGCCAATGCACCTGGCCCTTAACATGTTTTCTTATGGGAACCTGCCAATCAGACGGGCTTTTAGATTTTTGTTTGTTTTTTTGGGGGAGGTACAGAATATTCCTTTGTATAAATTCATTTTCAAGGGATTTTTTTTCTGGACATAGTGTTCTAGGTTGATCTTCTGTTTCTCTTTTGTCATTTTAAAGATGTGATTCCATGGCTTCTGACTTGCATTGTTGCTGATGAGATGGCATCAGCCTTTTTCTGTCACTGTTCCTCTACATTAAAGGCTCTTTCCTTCCTCTGGCTTCTAGAAATGATTTTTCTTCTTAGCTTTGAACTGGGACAATTTAACTATGATGTACTCCAGTAGAGCACAGACTTTTCCTCTTTAGAATTCTATATCTGAGTCATTGAGCTTCTTGACTCTGTGACAGTTTCTTGTTTTCTGGATATTTGAAAAGTTGTCAGCCATCATGGCTTCAAGTATAATTTCTGTCACAGTATCTCTTTCCTCTCCTTCTGTGACATGCTTAACATGTATATGAAATGTTTGGATGTTTTCATAGATGTCGTTGAGGCTCTGTTGATTAGTTGGTTCAGTCTTTGTGTGTGTGTGTGTGTGTGTGTGTGTGTGAGAGAGAGAGAGAGAGAGAGAGAGAGTGTGTCTATCCTGTGGTTTGTCTAGTTTCTATTGAATTATTTTCTAGTTTACTTTTACTATTGTAATGTCTAAGGTGATGATAAGGCCATCCAGTGAGTTCTTCCTTACAGATTGCCTTTTCTCAGTTCTTTAATTTCTATTTGGCTCTTTAATTCTTTTTCTTTCTCTTGATATTCTGCAATTGTTTCTCTCATGGTCAGGTTTTCCTTACATCCGTGAACACAGTTCTCATAGGTACATTTTAAATATTCTTGCCAATGCCGTCATTTCTATCATTGCTGGGTCTGTTTGTGTTGAGTGATTTTTCTCCTGGTTATGGATCACACTAAATGCTTCCTGTGTGTCTAGTAAATCTTTAATTGAGGTCACATATTGTAGAGGAAGCCACATAACTGAGCAACTAGACTTTGTTCCTTAACTCTAAGGAGGGTTGAGTTTTCTTCTGGAAGGCAGTTAATTTACTTGGAGATCATTTGGATCCTTTTATAGTTGCTTGGAAAAAAGTTTGCTTGAGTGTTTCTGGAGTTGCCTTTACTCTAGGAATACAATGATCCTACTCCCACAATATGGCTTTCTTTGGTTTCTAATGAATGCCCAAGTTGTTCATTGAGGTGTCTCTCTCAGAGTGATCAGAACTCAAATATCCCCCAGTGCTATGTGAGCTCTGGCATCTCCATTGAGCTCACAGTTCCCCTGCAGTTGTTGTTTCCCCAGTAGCTGTCCTTTATCCTCCTTTCTTTGTGGAACCTCTCCCTGTGCATACGCAGCTTTCTATTTAGCCAAAGCCTTGAGGAGACTTCTATACATATTCCTGGATCTCCTTTCTCCATAAATCCCTTCTCAATCTTAGCCAGCCTAGAACACCTCAGCTGCCTGAGGCATCACAAACTTCAGTCTCTCTCCTCAGTTCAGCGAGACTGCTATGGTCGGCTTGGGCTCCATCTTCTTGCCCTTCCGTCCAACAAGGGTCTCCAGGAAGAATGCCAGGCTAATGATGGGGTTGATCTCCTTTGATTCCCTTTCTCAATTCTCTTAGGCCTATCATGTCTATTGTCCAACCTGTAAAAACACTTTTCCCATGTATTTGTTAATCCTTCATGGCAGAAAGCCTGGCATGGTCAGAAATGGGTTTCTGTCCATCTTCCTGCATGTGTAACTCTTCAGAATCTCTATATTTCCTAACTCTCAGCAGCCTTCCTACTTTTGCTCCTCAAGTCCTGGCAACACACAGCTCTTCAGACACCTTGTGCTCAGGACCCAGTGTGTTTGTACAGGTTAGAGGAGAAACTGATTGGAAGATCTGGATGTCAATATAGATATCCTTTACTTGGGACCCAAGATGAGAATGGCAAACACAACCTTCACTTCAGGGCTTGGAGATTAGAATGACAGAATTCCCTGGTTGAATGATCACATTGGTCTTTAGTGGGCATTGTGGAATGGTACTATTTCTAAGCACGTAGTCATGTGTTCTCCTGAGCTTTCTGTTCATGGGACCTCACCAGCCTGCTGCTTCTGTAAACTATTAGGAAAGAAAGCCAGCCTGAGATTTCTCTCCTCTCAGACCCTGTGCCCAAAGAAAGAAGCCTGAGACATTCTGCCCAACACCCCAGGTCAGAGAGAAATTTGGTCTTAAAATGTTAGCTGGAAGCATGGCTCTTCCAAGAGAAATGTAAGTGGGTGGCTGTTTCTCTTAGGGTAAAACTTGAAGATATACCCATTTGGGTAGTATTCTGTGGTCCTCTGATGCTGGTGTGGTGTCACAGAGGACCAAGACTGATATGTCCTTCCTGTGACAGTGGTGGAGAATGATCCTCAATCCATCACCATGGTAGCAGTCCTGGACCCTGCGGCTTTGCTCCGTCGGTGCTGAAATTCAAAAAGAAGAAATCAAGCTGGGTAATTTCGAGAACAGAGAAGCATGGAAAGAAATCTGTGACAGAAACAGGACAGTCTTCTCTGAGAATGCCAACTATGCTCTGTTCTATATTAGCAGGTAGATGGACATGCCAATAAAAAAAAACAATAGATTCATAGCATTCTAGAAGCTTAAGGAGTTCTTAGAGAGATTTTCTTTAAAACCTGGACACCATAAAACAGATGAGAGTGCCTATCAGTCACAGTGGCTCTCATGCACATGCTCTTTTGCATAGACCTCTTCTGGGTGTTCATGAGAACAAGGCAGGAGACCAGAGTGCCATGTATCAGGCTGTGCAGGCTGTAGGTGGTGATTGGCTGTCTTGGGGGGCAGACATGAAACCCTTGCAAATTTTTCTATATCACTGCTCCTACAAGACCAAACTCTTTCAGCTTCTGGAGGATAGGTCAGGAAATGGTCCTGCCTCTAAGACTGCAGGCAACCACCCTTTGCTTCTCAAGAATGGGTAGAGGCCCAAATCTTATTCTCTTGGTGGAGAGATGGGGAATTTTCTAGTGCCCAGCATTTTGCATTGCAGCAAAGCAGAAGTCTACTACTCTTCCTCTTTAAACTCACCACAGATACAAGTTCCATGAGAAGGAGGGGCAAGAACACTGAGAAATCTCTCCTTTCAATGCCTACTTGTACACAGCTTGCCTAAGACTGAAGTTGTTCCATGAGATAGTGCATTTGCCTTCATCCACCAAAAGCTGGGCATTCAGTAACAAGAAACAGCAGAGTATCTGTAGGGTTAGTTTATGTGTCTGAAGCTATCTCCTCTGCAGTGCAGGCATGCAGTGACTGCTGAAATCTGAGAATCGATTAGGAACACTGAGAAAACTCCTCAACATCCCAGGCCCCACTCTAAGCAAAATATATTAATAGTAGCCCATCACTGGAGGAATTTAAACCCTTGGTGCACTTAAGATAAAAGTAGCAAACCCAAATCCCAAATTCAGCTCAACCAGTGACTACATTGACTCAATTACCCACAATGTATATTTGCAAGAGAAGAAGGGTGCCCATATCAAAGTATAAATAATACTTACTGCAATCTCTACTGTTCTTCCATTTATAATGTCTAGTGATTGATTAAAGAATGACAAGGCACACCAAAAATCCAAGGGGGGAAAAAGGCACTGTTGAATAATAAAGCAATCAAGAGACCCAGACTCAGAGAAGACCCCATCTGACAACTATCAGATTGAAATTGTACGATACTTACGTTAATATGTTAAAGGATTTTGTGGTAACAGTGGACAGTATGCATGGATAGGTAGAGAATTTCAGCGAAGAGACGGAAACTATAGAAAAGAGTAACATGAAAATGCTAGGAAGAAAATTGTAATATCAGAGATGAAGAATTCACTCAATGGGCTGAGGAGCCAACTAGATACAACTGACAAAATAATCCATAAACTTGTACATATGTTACTAGAACTCATCCAAACCAACACACAAAGAAAGAAAAATAGTTACTGAAAAAAAAAGCAGAACAAGCTTATAGGAATAATGAAACAACATGGATGTTCTAACACTGGGGTACTTAGAGTCCAAAAAGGAAAATACAGAGAGAAGTGGAAAAAGAAACATTTGAACAGATAATGGCTATGAATTTTACAAAGACAATGAAAATCAACAATCTACAAATCCAAGGAGCTCAGTAAACCTCAAGCGGAATAAAAACAAAAATTAGTAATAAACACATCAGAGTCAAACTGTTGAAAATCAAAGATAAGAAAATCTTAAAGACAGTCAGAAAAAGGAACTGTTGAATACATAGGAAGAAATACCAGATTTCTAGTCAGAAACCATTTAAAACAGAAGATAATGGAATATCATCGTTAAAGCAAGGAATGAAACTCTCAACCTAGTATCTATATTCAGCAAAATTACGTTAAAAACTGAAGGCAAAATAAAGACTTCTTCTGACATGCAAAAGCTGAAACTTCAGCAGCAGCAGATCTGTGCTACAAGAAATGCTAAAGGTTGTTTTTCACAGAAAGAATCTGACAACAGATGGAAATTGAGATCTACCCCAAAAGATGAGGAGCACCAGAAATGGTAAAATAAATTAAGAAGGAAATATTTAAAATATGTTTATTCATAATCACTTTAAAATGCAACTGACCATTCAGTTAATGGTCACACAATTAATGTATTGTGAGATCTATAACAAAGTGGATGTTATAGATCTCTGTTAGAGACAGCAATAGCACAACATTTTGGGAGGGAGAAACTAGAAGCACAAGGATGTAAGGTTCTTATAGAATAGTATCATTTCAAGGTGGAATAGTATCATTTCAAGGTGGAATGTGAAACATCAAAGATGTATATTGTAAACATTGAGGAAAATATTAAAACCGTTAAATATTAATTTAACTCATAAGTAAATGGTGGAGATAAAAGGCAATCATAAAAACACTTAACCCAAATGAGGCAGAAAAAGATGAAAAAAGGAACAAAGTTTAAATGGGACAAAGAGAAATAAGTAACTTGATGGTAGATGTAAATTCAACCCTATTAGCAATTACTTTAATGCAAATGGTCTGAGCATCTCAATTTAAAAGCTGAGAAAAAGATATATCTAACAAATACTAGTGAAAATAGAGCTGTGAAGACTGTATTCATATCATCATAAACAGAGTTCAGAACTTCAGAACAAGGAATGTTCCCAGAGATAAGAAGAAACATTACATAATGATAAAGGGGTCCTTTCATCAAGAAGACATAACAATCCTAAATAAATACACATGTGCCTAACAATAGGGTTCAAAATATACAAAACAGAGTTATGATCTAAAAGAGAAACAGACTAATCTACAGTTAAAGTTAGACACATCACCATTCACCCTTGGGAGTCAATAAAGGAGAAGACAGACAATCAGTAAGGATACAGAAGGAGGAGACAGACAATCAGTAAGGATACAGAAGAACACCAGCAACCAACTTCACCTAAATGACCTTGAGAGAACACCCCACCCAACAACTGTAGAAGACACATTCTTTTCAGGAGCACATAAAACTGGGTTTCAGACCAGCCTGGCCAACATGGTGAACTTCGTCTCTACCAAAAATACAAAAAATTAGCTGGGTGTGGTGGTGCAATCTGTAATTTCAGCTACTTGGGTGGCTGAGGCAGGAGAATCGCTTGAACATGGGAGGTGGAAGTTTCAGTGAACCGAGACCATGCCACTTCACTCCAGCCTGGGCGACAGAGCAAGACTCTGTCTCAAAAATAAATAAATAAATAAAAAGGAACTGAGTTGCAGAATCAGTAAAAAAAAAACCTACCAACCAGAAAAAGCCTTGGACCAGACAAATTCACATGTAAATTCTACCAGCCATATAAAGAAGTGCTTGGACCAAGACTACTGAAACGATTCCAAAAAACTGAAGAGGAAGAACTAACTCATTTTATGAGGTCACCAGCATCATTCTGATGCTAAAGCTTGGTAGAGACAAAACAACAAAGAAAACTTCAAACCAATATCCTTGATGAGCATAGATGCAAAAATCCTCAATAAAATACTAGCAAACTGAATTCAGTAGTACATCAAAAAGTGAATCCACCACAATAAAGTAGGTTTTATTCCTGGGATTCAAGGTTGGTTCAACATACACAAATCGATAAATGAGATTCATGACATAAATGAAACTACATCCTCGAATATGTATCTTAAGGACGGTTGTCTTTTACACTATCTCATTGAGGTTCTCTGAATTTCCTGTGTTTGTATGTTGACCTCTTTAGTGATATTGGGGAAATTTTCATGGACAATATCCTCAAATATGTTTTCCAAGTTGCTCACTCTCTCTCCCCTTCAGAGACACCAATGAGTCATAGATTTGGTCTCTTTACATAACCCCATATTTCTCAGAGGCTTTGTTCATTTTTTACATTTCTTTTTTATTTTATTTATTTATTTTTTTAGACGGAGTCTCGCTCTGTCACCAGGCTGGAGTATAGTGGCACGATCTCGGCTAACTGCAACCTCCACCTCCTGGGTTCAAGTGATTCTCCTGCCTCAGCCTCCCAAGTAGCTGGGACTACAGGCATGGTGCCACAACGCCCCGCTAATTTTTTTTTGTATTTTTAGTAGAGATGGGGTTTCACCATGTTGGCCAGGATGGTCTCGATCTCTTGACCTCGTGATCCACCCACCTCGGCCTGCCAAAGTGCTGGGATTACAGGCGTGAGCCCCCGCGCCTGGCCACTTCTTTGTTCTTTATTTTTGTCTGACAATGTTAATTTGAAAAATGGTATTCAAGCTCTGAGATTCTTTCCTCAGCTGTGTCTATTCTGCTGTTAAAACTTCTGATTGTGCTATGAAATTCTTACCGTGAGATTTTTTAGCTCTACCAGATAGGCTTGGTTCTTCTTCAAATGGCTTTTTTGTCTGTCATCTCTTGAATCATTTTACTCACTCCTTAGATTCCTTGGGATGGGTTTCAACTTTCTCCTTCATCTCACTCAATGCTCTTTGTTGCCACCCAGATTCTGACTCCTATGTCTGTCACTTCAGCCATTTCCTTCTGGTTAGGAACCATTGCTGGGGAGCTAGTGTGGTCATTTGGAGATATGGAGACAGTTTGGCTTTTAGAGTTGCCATTATTCTTGTGCTGGTTCTTTCTCATTTGTGTGGGCTGATCCTTTAACTGTGATGTAATTTGAGTACAGTCAGTTGACTTCATTTCTGGATGTTTTCAGAGGGCCAAAGTGGTGTGCAAGGTCTTTATTTGTGGCTAAGTTTCCATCCATGGTTTTACGGGGGAGTATACTAACAAAGTATTTTTGATTTTAAAGTTTGGGCTGCAAACTCACAGATGGCTCTTAAATGGCCTGTGAGTGGGCTCTTGCTCAGCCACATGGCTCCTCTGTATTTCCTCGCATTTGGAGCCATGCTCCCTCTCAGTACCCTGAGAATGCCAGCTCCTCTCCCACTTGAGTGCTGGCTGCAGATCTCAGCTTAGCACTCTTGGGCTGTGCACCGCAGCCCTGGGGCAAGCTCAGGCTTTGTGTTCGCTCCACAGCTTGGGGGCGGCAGGGGCAGGAACTTTGTCAGTGGCAATGGGAGTGGGAGTGGACATTTTGCCTGTCCCTTGGGGCTCCACTCCAGAGAAACTTAGAGCTACTGCCAATTGGAAGAATCAGCCCAGGGTGTGGTGGCTGTGTTGTGAGCCCAAGCCAGCGGGCCCTGCCTGGTGAGGAGTGGGGCATCAGGGGCATGCGGGGAAGATACACTGGCCTGTTTTCCATAGGGTGGCTGGGGCATGCTGGCGTGTGAATAAAGCACTCACGATCTTTATTCCTTCCCCAGTCCACAGACAGCAAGGGCAGTATCACTGCAGTGGCAGTCGCAGATGGACTTTCAGTCGCCTCTAGGAGCTCCACCCCACAGAAACACAGACAGCAGCCAGTGGAAATGTTCAGCTGAGTGTGAGGTGCCTGCACTGTGGGCCCAAGCCAGGAGCCCTGCCTGGTGAAGAGTAGCAGGTGGGAGCTCACAGGGAAGAGAGACTGAAATTCTTTCCATATATCCCCTGCTGTGTGCTGGAGGCATCAGGGAAGTGACCAGGTCCCTTTGTTCCTTCTGCAGCCCAAGGGCAATAAGGGTGGTATTGCTGCAGCTGCAATGGCAGAGGGGCTGTGGGTTGCCTCTGGGATTTCCTCCCCAGAGAAGCACACAGCCAACACTGACTAAAATGTTCAGGCAGGGCCAGGGTGGCTGTGCTCTGCCCAGTGAAGAGTAGCAGCAGCAGGGACCACTGTAGAAAACAGTGTGGCCACTTTTCCATAAGGCAGCTACACTGTTCTGGAAGTCCGTGAGAGTTCTGAAGCTCCTCGCTCCCTCCTGAGCCTGCACTTTAATCTCAAGAGTTTGAGATAAACAGTGGTAAGGAAGAAAGTACAATGGGTGCGGCTAATGAAACACAAGAAGACAAGCCAATGCATAGAAATAATTCCAACCTAAAGAAGTACTTTTTAAAATCATACTTACAGAGGTTTGCAGTGATACTAAAAACAATATTGCAAATCATTATCAAGAATACAAGAACTAGGGTGTTTGTTTCCTTTCCTCTTTAACACCTGTGATGCAGAATCTTTGGAGAGCTAAATTGTTGTTATTAACCATCTTAATACCTAGCCACCAACACAGCATAGGAAACAGTTTTTAAACTGTCATACATCCCTTTAAATCTTCATACACTTAGTGGAACTTTTGCATATCTAAAAAGACATGCAATTTCTACTGAAATCCAGGCCACCTCTTATTCTAAACAATGAGACTACTGATCCACATTTTAAAAGAAACTGTAGAAAAGGAACTGCAACTTTTGCACATTAAAAAAATTTTTCAGAGTCTGAGGAAAATATAGACCATGTCCCCCAAAACATGGAAAATTTAAGAATAAAGCTAAGAATTTTTTACAAAAATTAGCTGGGCATGGTGGTACACAACTGTAGTCCCAGCCACTTGGGAGGCTGAGGCACTAGAATTGCTCGAACCCAGGAGGCAGAGGCTGAAGTGAGCTGCGATCGCACCACTGAACTCCAGTCTGGATGGCACAGTGAGACTCTCAAAACCATACAAAATAAAATAAGAATTTTTGTTCCTATTTGACTGTTACTGAGGATGAAAAAGCCACAGTATTTCTATTTTACAAGGCTTTGGTCCAGAAATTAGAGACCTGGGCCATGGTGACCTTGCAGAATAAGAAGCCAAGATCATAAGGATTGCTTAGACTTCCCATTTCTTCCTTAAATATGAAATAATATTTCAAATATCCCATTTTCAGGGTCATAGGGGTAGGTATGATTTTGTAAATCCAATCCCTTCATTTTTTGAACAACTACAAAAAATGAAACCCAAGAGGTGAAATAATATACTCAAGTTGACATGGCTAATTAGTAATCAAATCCTGTCCTAACTCAGAATTCAATTTCACTACGCCATAGTCCCTTCCTTCTCTGGTCTCATAAATTAAAGACATAAAAGAGGAGGAGGGGGAGTGAGAGGAGGGGGAGGAGAGGAGAAGGAGGAGGAAGAAGAAAATGTACTCACCTTTCTTTTCAAACGAACTGACATCTCATCCTCATGATTGTGGAGGACTTCCTGTTTTCAGCCATTACCACACATTGTTGCCCTTTACTCTGATATTGAAATGACCTACAGGAGAAATCAGGAAATCAAATAAGTGTTTTTCTTTATTTAAAGAAAACAAATGTTTATTAATAAGTGAGACACGCTAAAGATCATTGAATCTCTTGATGGACCAGGGAGCTCAGAACTGCCACCTCTTTCAGTTGTTCGGGCATGGCATCGATGAAGTACTGAACAAAATACACCAACGTGGCAGTAACTCTTGTTCTCTCATGCTCCTACCTTCCCTCCCTCATAATTTTCTCTTTCTTTCTGTTTCAATTGCTTTACTTCTTCTTTACTCGTTTTCTTAATTTTTGTTTTTGGGTTGGAAAGTGGCAACTCTGGTTGCTTTGGACCCATTCCATGAAGTCTGAAATCAAAGTGTCAGTGAGGTTGATTCCTTCTGGGGGCTGTGAGGGAGGATCTGTTCCATGCCTCTCTTCCAGCTTTGGTGATTTGCCAGCAATCTTTGGCATTTGGCTTATAGATGTGTCACCCCAATCTCTCCCTTTCTCTTCCTGTGGTGTTCTTCTCTGTCTTTGTGCCCAAATTTCCCCCATTTATAAAAGATATCAAACATATTGGATTAGGGCCCATCTTAATGATCTTGCCTTAATTTAATTAAGTCTGTAATAACCCTACTTCCAAATAAAGTCACATTCAAAGGTTCTGGAGGGTAAAATTTCAACACATATTTTTGGGAGGACACAAGGTAGTCCATGACAGTACCAGTAGAAATATTAAGTGGTTAAGACATATAGGATTCTTCGAAGGTATACTAATGTAGATTAAATATATAATGTTGACTTTGCTAAAGATTATTAATAGCTTATTACCATTTAAAGTAAATTTGAAAAAATACACAAAAGTACATTGCGTATTTGGTAAATATTCATGTATTTTATAACAATATACACCACAGCTATATATCCAAAACATTAGAGAGGTACATAAGGAATAGAAAGGTGTATGTACCCAGAAGATGATGAAGGGAAAAATAAAATGAAATACTTAAATTGTATTAAAATGAAATCTAATAAAATATAGATATGAAATTTATAAATAAGAACTGGGTCTTATAGAATTGACTAGAATCGTTCATCATATACTGAGTAATATTACTAAATTGAGTTTGTGTTCCTGAATTCCCAAGTAAAATAAAATACATTAAAAAATCACGAAGTTCAAGGCAAATATTGTTTCTTCTATACTTTCTTGAAAAACTCAAAACCTAGCCCACTGGGTCTTTACTCCTTTATGGCAACAAAAACACTGTTTCCGAGTAGCAGCTGTATCTTTGAAAAGGGACTATGTTCTTGCAATAGCATCCAATTTGGTTTCACTCATCTGTAATCAGCTTGGCACATGTAAAAATGTGTTTGTAACTATTTCAGAGTGTCTAGCAGAACAGGTGAGGCAGTATAGATCAATGAGAATTTTGACCCTGACTAGAATGTATCACGTTCAAAGTGCTTTTGTACATTCAAGGTCAGTAAATTACCTTGATTTACTGTCCAAGCCCTGTTGTCTGCAATCTTATTTTCTACCTTAATACTGTTTCCAATTCAGAGTCTATAAAAGCATCTCTTTCTTGGATTCCAGTGTTATTTGTTTTACCTGCATACACTTATTCCTACTATAGCGTTATGTATATAAAGAGTGTCTATTGTAACTGGAGCTATTGGGATTAATATTCTTATTTTAGAATATAATAGTTTTGCCCGTTTGATATAATGCATTTTAATCTGGCCAGTAAAATTCAACCTTCTCTAAACTGCATGTAGTTTAAAATTTTTAAACTCCTTATCAGGTAAAAACAATTCATACTAATGTTCACTAAGCATTGTCGTATTTTTCCCTAGAATGTTTGCATCCTTTGAAATGTCTACTAATGGTACAGGAAAGTGTCTAAGTGTCTATTTTCCTTCATCTCCTCTTCTGACTTGTAATTTCTGTACATTATTACTTTTTAAAAGATGTAAAACTGTCCATCAAACTCCAACAATTATCTATGCAAATGCAGTACACACACATGCACACGCACACACACCATCTGGAATTCCCAACATCCTTTCTTGTGATAGCACTTTTCGTTTTGTAATGCCATTGAATTTCATTTATTGGAAACACTCCTAAGAGACCCAGGGATTATTACACAAATGTCATTTCATTAGCAGGTCAGCTCTCTCTAGGCTTCCTGAAAGCCAGAAAAGAAGACTTTAGGCTTATTACTTTGGGAGCGATTTAACCAAAATTGTGTATCTTCTGCTAGACATGAGTGGTGAGTCATAGAGGCGATTTAATTCTAAATCTTACTAAAGTAAAACTGCATACTTTTATATTTAGAGATAAATGTGGAGGAAAAGGAGAGAGAATACATTGGGAAAAGAAAGAACAGAACTAAGATTTGCCTCTTTGTTCAGTGAGGACAAAATTCAAACTATCTCCTTTGCAAATAACTTTATGCATTACATTTTATTTAGAAATAGGATAATAGAAACTACAAGTATTAACTTGAGTTGTTTAATGCATATACAAATATATGAATTAGTGTTTTTTTTTTAAATTTTGGCAAAGAGCATAGGCATTCTCTTCTAGTTATGAATAAGGCTCAAATTTTTTTTTTAAACTAGAGTTCCTATGAGAAATGGCAGGTCTCATTGACTTCACTGGATAGTGCTGATATGTATATAAAATGTCCTTGAAGGAGCTCAGGCATGTGGGTAGAATGTTAAGAAGTGGGGTGCAAGCAGTGACTTGTGTGCTTGCTTGTTTTGACCTGCCCTTTGTGTTTTCACTGTTGTTAAGAGAAGGGCTGTCCCAGGAGGCTGCTGCCCTTCAGCCTGGGTCTCAGAATCAGATGTGGAGCACACCTGAGAAAGGTAGGCCTGTGGAGTGAAGCAGAGCTACCCTGCTAAATCCAGCTGACTCCCAGACATGTGAGTGAACCCAGCTGAGATCACAGAGCTTTATTGGTGGATGTGCAGATCTGTGAGAAAAAAATTCTTATTGTTGTATGCTGCTGGTATTTGGGGACTGTATATTTTGAAGCAATAGCTATAGCTACATCCTGCAACAGAAGTTTTGAATATTTTTGTTTTCCATTTGTACAAGATAGTCCTTTATCATGTAAAGACCTGATTTAAAAGACCGTTTTATGTGAATTTACCATTAGGTAAATTTCCTGATTTTTCTTCATCTCAGAAAAACACTCTTCTATTATTTCTTTCATTAGTGCTTCTAAACCATTGCTTCTGCTTTCTTGTTAAGGAAACTCAAGTGTATTTGTGTGGACTTTTTATTCTCTTTCTTTTTGTTCTCTGTTATCTCAGCATTGGTCACATTTTAACCTGCATTCTGAGTGGACTTACTATTTCCTCCACATCATTGATTCAATTTTCTATAGTCCAGTTCTTTTTTTTTTTGCTCATAATACAGCTTTAAGCCCTCAAATGTAGCTTTCCTTTTTAATGATTTATTTATGCTTTCTTTTTTAGATATATTCTTTTAACTTTTGAATTTATTTCTCATTTTTATTTTCCAGTAATTTGGACTGAGAACACAAACTATTTTATTTCTAGAACATTCTTCTGTTTTTCAAAACAAATTCCTGTTGGTGTGCCCTGCTGTTATAATGATTGCTCTGGAATTCTTGTTTTCAGAGTTTAAGCTAAGAGTGATTTTCTAGTCAGCTCCTTTCTAGTTAAACGTGTGATGTTTAGTCCTCCGTGTGTATCTGCTACCCTAAGGAGGAAACTCCTAGTTTGTATTCTGTTATTCTTTCTGGCTTATGATTTTTGTTTGTGTCCCAAATATAGAAAAGGCAGTTAAAGGGGTGAGGGTTGGGGTTAAATTTCAGTATGAGAGTTCTCAATAATAGTCTATTAATAAAGCATTTGATTAGTTTTCCCCTAAAATGCACTTGTTGGTAAGTTATAGATATTCTATATCCCTGAAATACAGTACTTATTTGACAAATACTGCTTTTAAATAAACAAATAATAAATATATCAGAGTGTTTCCCATTTGGCCGATGGAATAAGTCATTTTTATTTTTTAAAGTTTCTTTGACTTTTAGCAGTAGTTTTCTAGAAAACCTGTGGTATTTACCCTGTATCCACTACCGCAAATTGAGAACAGCCTGTCAATATCTCCACATTGTACATATGTGGCTTTCTTACTCCTTATTACCTTTAAGCTAGAAAAAATTGTATTCAGCAGAATGGAGCATATCATTCAAGAAACTTTTCTATTAAAGCTCTATTCCAGATGAAGGAAGACTTCGAATCTCTAATCAAGATTCTGTTTTAGTTGTGTTATATATTCCCATTTAAAATGAGGTATAACAAAAAGGTATTAAACTGAAAGTCCTGGGCAGGAGAAAAATGTAAATGTCTTCAGTGTTCACCTCTATATCTGTTCTTAACTCTTCCCCATCCTGCCTACTGTTCTAGGAGACAGACCAGAAACAAAAAGGAAGGGAAGACTGGGGAAAATTGAGTCTGAGGGAGCTATAAGTGAATGGACCTTTAAGAATGGCCAGAGCCTGTAATTCCAGCACTTTGGGGGGCCAAGGCGGGCGAATCATGAGGTCAGGAGTTTGAGACCAGCCTGGCCAACATGGTGAAACCCCGTCTCTACTAAAAATACAAAAAATTAGCTGAGTGTGGTGGTGGGCGCCTGTAATCCCAGCTACTCGGGAGGCTGAGGCAGGAGAATCACTTGAACCTGGGAGGTGGAGGTTGCAGTAAGCCGAGATCGTGCCACTACACTCCAGCCTGGGTGACTGTGCGAGACTCCATCTCAAAAAAAAAGAGGCCAGAGTATGAAGAGTTTTATGTTTTCTTAAATCAAACAACTAGTGATGAGAAAACCAGGGAAAGAAGTTTAATTAACCTTCTCAAATCCACAGAATGGAATGCATTATAAATTTGTACATGTAGAAGAAATACCTTTAATGTTTGACTCTATATTGAAATAACTGTAAACCCCTTCAGGATGGAACAAATTACAGACGGTGGGAAATACATATTTAGACTGTACAAAAGAAAGAATCTATGACAAGAGATGTAGGTCTAGGAGTCATTTAAGATGAATCTTTAAGTCACCCAATGAGATTGGCCAGAAAGACATGGGGACATTTGTGTCAACAGCACGCAAGTAAATAGAACAGCACAGACACTAAAAAAGAATAACCAAATATGAGAATTCACATTCCAGAGTGAAAATCATGAGCAGGAGCCACATCCTGAACAATCAGGGGATAAAGTGGCCACAGGACACATGAGGCAGAAATGATGGAGGTGTGAAAAACCTGGTTTAATTCTGGAAAACTAAGTCTTACTATTACAGCGATCTTTTTCATGAGAGAATTTTAAAGAGATAAAAATTTTAATCAATGCTACTTCTCTTAAATGCTAAGCCTTATTGTTACTACTTGTCAAGTGCTATAGCAAACCACAAAAGTGGAAGATTAAGAATATACCACCAGATTATAATTGTAAAATATTTGAGATCAATACATGAGCTCATATGCAGTGGGTGGAGTGAAAGTCAGGTATCAGTGGATTGAGGAGTGAGGGACCTAATGACCACTCTGATAACCTCTATAGCAATTTATTATTATCATTTATTAACACATCAGACAGGGTAGGTAACATGTTTAATGCAATCCTGTAGTCATTCAAGGAATTTTGGTTTTCTGAACGTTGAGTAAGAGTGGAAGTAAAGAGTATAAAATCTACTTTTCATGCATCTTTCATGAAAGAAAGGGGTAGAGTTAGGGCCAACTCTGAGGAAGGGGTAGGATCTTTGTCCTTAAATTCTTAAAAATCAACATTAAAAAAATAAAAAAGATGTAGTTTAGTGAAAAGGACATTGTACATCAGATTGTTTTCTGCCCATCAGAAATACAGAATTTCCGAATGAAGTTTAAAAAGCTTTAAAAATATAGTAATAACAATAATAGAAATAAAACAATTTTTTTTCTTGATTCACCTTTGAAATGTACATGTTAGAATAAAAATAGTTCTGTTACATAAGCTCTTGCCTTTCAGGAAGCAATCAATTCTGTAAGTTATTGTGGGAATTCAAAAGACAAAATAATATTACAATTAAAAGTATGTCAAGAGTGGTGTGTGATCATTTTATTTATGTAACTACTAACAAATTACTGTTTTGAAAACAGGGAAATTAACTATCATTGTGATGTTTTATGATTTAATACAAGAGCTTTGATTCCATGGAGTTGGATTTTTAAAGCATTTAATTATGAGAAATATTTAATAATTTCAAAGAAGTATCTTGCCATTTCCTGGACTGTGAATAAGATTATAAATCACATTTCCTTCAAAATCCTCAAATTATTTTTCCATTAAAAACAAGGATAGAACAGAAAATATTACATCAGTAGATTTAGTTTTAGAAAATTTAGAAGGAATTGTAAATAAAGATACTCCCCTTCCCCTCTGCCCCAAAATATGTGTGGCCCTCAGAGATCAGCAGACAGCCTCCCGTGGCTCACACAATAGTGTGGTTTTATCCCATGATTTTCCACCCTAGATGCTTTCTTTTTTTGGGAATATTGTTTCTTTTTCTTTTCTTGACCCAGGTCCCTCACCTCTCTCATAATGTCTTAGTCATTAGGCCCCAAATGTTTGGAAAGCTTCCACATTGAGTTGTTTTCTCTCTGTTTTTCATGGCATGCCTGGAACATTTTGTATTATAGGAAGTTGGGAAAAAGCAGCCAGAAATGACTGCTGACAAGTGAGAGGTCTTCTGTCCTCACTAAAATACAGTATAACTGGAACTTCCTGACATTGGTCCACCTTAGCTTAACCCCTTCGCCATAACTTGCCACTGAGAACCCTGGGGAAGGTTCTGACTTTCCTTCTACTTAGTGAGCATTCTGCTCATGTGTCTTCATACTCCTAGTAAACCTCTCTTAACAATTTATGGTTTAAAATTATCAGGAAACCAAAAGGCAAGAAAGGGGACAAGGGAGAAGTGGATAAAGTTATATGGCTTTATATTTTAGAAAATATGGTCCATAAATAACAAAGTACTTGCTGAAGTGGGGCAGAGCAAAGAAAATCCTTGAAAACAACACATGTGGAAATTACTATTTGTTGTAGACTCCAATGGTTCAGATACAGAATCATGATTAAAGACAGAAGTGATTTATTTCAGTAGAATCACAATGGAGAGAGCTATCAGATGCCAGAAAGTAACCATCTCTCTGAAGTTCAAAGGCTGCAGACAAGGATAATACACAACTTTGTCTCCTGAAAGATTGCATGTTTAGATAGTGCTCTCATTATCTGAGGAAAGGTAGACTAAAACAAACAAAATAAAAACAAAACCAGTGTATTTATGTCAAATAATTGCAAAAAACAGAACACAGGCATACCATAAACATGATTTAGTTGCATACAACAAAAGCAAAACTTAAACAATTAATAAACAGAAGGAAGGTATTGGTATGTACCCAAATTGCAAACATTTATTTTTTCCACTTATCAAGTATTTGTGTATACCTTTCCTTTCCAGGCCTATTCAGAGACTAAAATAGACATGTTCATTGACTGCGGATGTCATGAGATGTACAAGGTCAGACATAATCAGATACAGGCATGTTTGTATCTTTTTATAATGTAATGCCCAACCTTGTTTTTTACTAACCCTGTTCTTAGACTCTCCCTTTCCTTTAATCACCTAGCCTTGTTTCCACCTGAATTGACTCTCCCTTAGCTAAGAAAGCCAGACAGACTCCATCTTGGCTTTTTCACTGGCAGCCCCTTCCTCAACGACTTAACTTGTGCAAGCTGACTCCCAGCACATCCAAGAATGCAATTAACTGATAAGATACTGTGGCGAGCAATATCCGCAGTTCCCAGGAATTCGTCCGATTGATAATGCCCAAAGCCCAGCGTCTATCACCTTGTAATAGTCTTAAAGCCCCTGCACCTGGAACTGTTTACTTTCCTGTGACCATTTATCCTTTTAACTTTTTTGCCTACTTTACTTCTGTAAAATTGTTTTAACTAGACCCCCCCTCCCCTTTCTAAACCAAAGTATAAAAGAAAATCTAGCCCCTTCTTCGGGGCCGAGAGAACTTTGAGCTTTAGCCGTCTCTTGGCCACCAGCTGAATAAACGGACTCTTTAATTCATCTCAAAGTGTGGCATTTTCTCTGACTTGATCAGGTACAACATTAAGGTCAGGCTTTTACTGATGCTTATTTATTCATAAAAGCCACAAGCTACAGGGAGTTCCCAAGGAGACAACTCTCCTTAGCATTATCTCTTCACTTGGCAGTCACAGCCAAGAACACACAGGCTCAAGCTGATCTACAAGTTAGTCAATATGGCAAACCATACATAGTAGTATAATTAATACATGCATATGGTAGATTAAAATTTCCACATCACAGTAACATTTAACATTGAGAGAAAACTGTGTAGTATAGGGAAAGATGTTAATGAACCAGTCCAAGGATAGCAACATGGACAAGGAGACTGTCTTGGACTAATCCAGGCGCTTGTCAAAGTCTTGCAAGGGAGAGTTCTTGATTTGGGCAGAGCCTTTAGCAGCAGATGCTAGGCGCTGCCCAAGAGTGACAGCAGGACAATGTCTAATGAGATGACTGTGTTGAACTGATGAAGCCCTGTTCTTCGTACCTCCTTGCATCCTCTGGCGAGGGCTGTCTTACGCCTCAGTCTTGTTGGGTATAGACTCTATTGATTAGACAAACATCTGGTCCCACTGATATGATGCCATTTGAAATATAAGATGAAGTCTTTTTCTAAAATGGAGTTACTTATGTCTATGGTGCTCTATACAGTGGATATTGTAATTTTGAAGAAAACATAAATAATTTTTTATAGATATACTTCTGGATATGTGAACCCCAAAAATCCGAGACACGTTATCAGTTAATTTAGAAAGCTTATTTTGCCAAGGTCGAGGACGTGGGCCCATGACACAGCCTCAGGAAGCCCTGACGACATGTGAACAAGGTGGTCACGGCAAAAGTTAGTTTTATACATTTTAGAGAGACATGAGACATCAATCAATATATGTAATAAGTACATTGGTTTGGTCTGGAGAGGCAGGACAACTTGAAGCAAAGGCAGGAAGACTGGAAGTGCGAAGGGGACTTCCAGGTCACAGATAGGTGAGAGACAACAAACAGTTGCATTCCTTTGAGTTTCTGATTAGCCTTTCCAAAGGAGGCAATCAGATATACTTCTATCTCAATGAGCAGAGGGATGACTTTGAATAGAATGGGAGGCACATTTGCCCTGAGCAGTTCCCAGCTTGAAAGGGCCCAAGGTATTTTCCTTCCACATTTTCCCCCTTTTCTTCTTAATCTTTTGCAGAAAACATTTTAGAAGAAAATGAGCCTCTGGTGTCAGGTTTCACCTGATCTCTTATGGTTAGGACGGTTTATTCCTAGATGGGTAGGTCCCAAAAGCTCATTTTTAGCAGGTTGTGAAGTCTCACATCCTATGAAGAGAAATTAGGGAGAGGAGGGGAGAAAAACAACAACAAACAAAAGAGCAATCCTGGAAAACTGATATAGGCCACATTACTCTGAAGTCTATACAACAGTAGGCAGGTATGAAAGTGGCTTATGTATGTAAATAGATTGCTGTTATTTTCTTCTGAAGTTTAGGTTGTCTGGTTTGAGTTTGCAGGGTTTAAAGAAAGCATAACTTAGTTTTCAGTGACTCCCAATTAGGAAAAATGGAAAAAAAGAAGGAAATAAAAGAAAACATTATTCTGAAGACTTGGAAAAACATTAGGCAAGATTAGATCCTAACAACAGGGGTACTATAGTTTTTGAAACATAATTTTTCTCTCTCCAGTTTCCCATTTTGCTAAAGGCAAATCGAAAATGGTTTTCTTTATTATACTTGGCCTAATTATTTGTATGCATTGCAGCAAGAATAATTATTTTTACATAGGCTTTTAAATTGGCTTTAATGGAACTTTGTTCCATAGAAGGAATCTCAGATAAAACTTTTTAAAAGCTGAGCCCAGCCATGGATTCGTGCCATCAAATATCTATGAGTTGGGTATATTTCCTCTCCTCTTGAGGTTCCAAGATAAACCTGAGGCTTCTGGGCCTGTCAGAAAGTGACATTCTTTACTTAGCACAGGTCAGAAATCCTGTACAGGGACTGCGTACACAGAATATGAGGCCAGTTTTTCCAAGGGCTTTATTGGCTCCATAACTCAAGTTTGATTCCTTAAAGGAGAGCACACCATTCCAGTTAAAGTCTTGGTCAAATAACCAGTTTCTCCAATTATGTCCTGTTACAAATGAAAACAGATTCTTTTTTTTTTTTTTTTTTTCTTTTTTGAGATGCAGTTTAACTCCTGTCACCCAGGCTGGAGTGCAATGGCACGATCTTGGCTCACTGCAACCTCCACCTCCTGTGTTCAAACAATTATCCTGCCTCAGCCTCCCAAGTAGCTGGGATTACAGATGCCCACCACCATACCCAGCTAATTTTGGTATTTTAGTAGAGACGGGGTTTCACCATGTTGGCCAGGCTGTTCTCAAACTCCTGACCTCAGGTGACCCACCTGCCTTGGCCTCCCAAAGTGCTGGGATTAAAGGCATTAGTCACCACTCCTGGCCTGAAAACAGTTTCTTGTTGCACTTATGCACATAACTATATTACCATAAGTTAAGAATACTCACAAATAGTTCCAAATTCTGGAGAAATCAGATAGAAACAAAAATGCTCCAAATTTTGTTCATAGGAGTATACTAAATTTTTTAAAGCTGTCAATAGCTCAAAAGAAAAGTTTTAAGACTCTGAAAAACAACACAAAGGATCAGCAAACATTAAAAGTTAGGAAGAATAGTTCAGTCCATGCAGTTAATTTCTATTCTGCTTGATACTCATGAACATTTTAACTCTCCGTGAGTCCTGAACATTTTTTTCTCTGTTCCAATGTTACAATCTTTGAAGTTATCAGAATCTTGCACTCAAGAGCACCTGTTGAAGTTTTATAGCTGATTATGAAACCAACTTCTAAAGAGGACCAAAACAAGACAATTGTCCATGGATGAAAAAAGGTTTTAGGGCACCCATAGTCAAAGACACAATTGACAAAGAAATGTATTATTACTGTGGCACACAATAACTTTAACATAACAATCATTACTAATAATGTACACTAAGTCATATCAAAATAACAGGAGTTTTCCATAATTTTGGAACACTTACCAATAACATATTTATACAAATACAGCCCAAAGAAAATAAAGCACCATTTAATATTTGACAATTCTTCTGGTATAATTTTTTTTTACCAAATAAGCCAACTTATGTCATTTTTGGACTTTAGGGAAACTAATATCTTAAAGGATTAATTAGGTCAGAAAAAGACACAATTTGTAGTTTGACTTTGGAAAGCTTGTCAAATATAAAAGGTTTAAGACACTTGATATCACAAAATAGGATTACAGGCCATTGTGAAGTCATTCATGTAACCAAGTGGTAACTCAAGCATTTCAAAAAAGTGAAAACCTTCATTCTTTGAGAGAGGAGACTTAATTTTCCAAATAAGAAGTCCTAATAAAAATAGCATGAAGCCAATTAAATGTTTTCCCAAATTTTGCAACCAATCTATAAAATTTAATCTTGATCATAAAATATAAGTTCCATAAGCCTTTTATAACTTTTATAACCTTTATTAAGGAGTTGGTTAATGCCTCAAGAAAACCTTGCTAATCTGACACAGTGGTCCATATGCTGGTCTTGCATCAGTGTGTCTTTGACATTAATGATTAATTTATGCAGAAACTGAACTTATTTTATCTTTTAAAATCGGCCCTTACAATCTTACATGCCCACCTCTTCTGTGATAGTCCCTGGGCCTTGAGAAGTTGAATGGCTTTCCTTTCTGGCCCTGTGTCTCAGGAATGCAGTTTATTTTGATTGGCATCTTCTACAGGGCCTGAAGATGAGGCTTTAATTGCTGTCAGTGTTTAAGATTTAGCAGGAATTGGTGTCCTTTTTAGACCCAGGAGTCAAAGCCCTGTAACTCAATGTCACAAAAACTTTAAAAGCACATACAGGAAGATATATGGATGTAATAACCTTAATTCAAAAAAATTATCTCAGTTATTTTTCCTAAGCAAACCAAAACTTAATCATAATATGACAAATTCATCATATACAAGTTTTTGGGTTTTTTTCCTCAAAATAAATCCTCTTATTGTGACTTACACTAACTGTTCATAACATGCTTGGGACCTTCTGGTTTGTCCTGAGTATTCCTCCTTCTGAAACAACCCGTCATTTTCTCTAAGACTAAATCTGCCATATAAGATTCTTTCTCATATAAAATTGTTTCTCTTTAAGCTTTCTTACCATGCACACATAAAATCTCTTTATTTTTATAACTTTTTTACATCTCTTTTTTATTTCCTGGTTCCTTTTACCTTGTTTTATACATAACCTTTAAATAAGCTTTGAATTAGATAAAACGTGTTCACCTATTTTTTTTTTTAAAAAGGACACACTTTTTTTTTTGCAAGAATATTCTCCTACAATATAGATTGGAAAATACCCAAATAATGAAATCTCTATTATTTAATTTAACTTTAGATTCTAAATTATGACATTTGTCTACAAGTATTTATCTCATTACATTTACCTAATTATTTTATTTTAATTGTTTACCTGGATTATTTATGAAAACTGTGATAGTTATGATTTAAAGTTATAGATTGCCATTGCAAAAATATAACTGAGGCAGTGAAAAAGATATGACCTAACTGACTCCATCTTGCTTCTAGCCTCCAAGCTGTCCTTCTTCGTTCCTGGACTTTGGGAGGAACTTAATTTACAGTCTAGCTTTGAAACAAAGACAGTAACAGTTTTTTCCCAGAACAAACCTCCTTACTGCCTGTGGACTAGACTCCCTAAAGCCAAGATTAGAAATTATGGTAATCTTCCTAAATTTAAGATGCAGATGTTCATTAAACCGATATCAATGTCTTATTTATTAAAAATTACACAGCAAAGATCACTCTGCTTTGGGCTAGGTTTATAGTTTTGTAACCCCTATGCCAAATTTTGACATCTTACACTATTTGGCAGGGATAAGCATGAAATTGTCTGATTAATAAATGCAAAAAAAAAGTATGCTGGCAATTCCTCAGACATTTCTAATATTACTTTACTAATAATTTTAAAGCTGGCTTATTTATTAAAGCTTTTACTTAAGTTCCATAAACTCGAAAAAGCATTTGACTAGTCTTTTCTTTTTTCCTGATAAAGTATTTTATTTAAATGCTTTCATTTTTCTTTAAGCCCTTTATATATTTTTCAGTAGTGAAACATTGTATACACAATACATAAATACATAGATGTATTGGGCATGTGGATGGAAGTACATCTTATAGATTCAATAAGACCTTTTTTTTCCCTATCTTAGACTTTTAGATCCTTGATAACCTGTTTTACAACCCGAGGCAGTTGATAGCTAAATAGGCTTAAATTTGCATATTAAAGGAAACAACTCAGTTGAAAATTAAATAGCAAAATTTCCATCATAAGGTACAGAGAGAAAAAGTCTGGTGGTACTCGAGGGAGACGCTTTTATAGTGTACTTAAAAAAACTTTTTTTAAACAAAGACATTTCTGAGTGTCTAAACTACATTCTCCCTTAAAAACCCAAGCGTAGCCTCTGTTGTAATAACTATTTTAGTCAATAAATCAGGTGAAAAGAGCATTCAGTCAACTGATAAGAAAGAAAAAAAAACTTTTGCTCAAAAAAAGACAAGGTCTTAGGAGAGAAAAACAAACAAAAAAACCCAAAACAATGAAGGCCTTTTAAATACAAATATGCACACGTGCACACATACACACTCACATCTTGGATGTTATCCTTCTAATTAAGCTGACTTTTAATCATTGAACTTCTTTAAAAAATATTTTAAAATCTCATTACCATATGTCAGCTAGGAGAAAATGCTGCTAATTCAGTAGTACAGCCATTCCTCTTTCAGTTTGGTTTGACTGGCAAAAAGGTGGCCTTGTTATGTAAATAAAGCCCCTTTTGTAGTCAAAATTAAAAATCTTTTCCCTTTTTCTTTTTCCCTTTTGCTGGCCATTTTCCTCCCACTTCAAAGGCCTTGTTCCCCATAATTCAGAGTTACTCTTTGGATCTGACCAAGTTGGGACGTATGTCAGACCCAAAATGTGCTGCTCGCAGACCTAGCTCTTCAGAGTCATGACCCCCTGAACCTGTTCTGTCCGCCCATGTCTCAGCCACCTGGCACAGTGTGTCAGGGCCTCAAGGTTCGGGAGGGGTCAGCTCCTTCTATGTACCTGCTGGTTGAGATTAAACTCCAAGTATGTTCTTCTGAGGGGGAACCTATTTAGAGCCACTGCATGTCTTAGGGAGTGTTTCTCCCAGACACCCTCAGGTGATTCTCAGTTGCCTGAGAATGCCAGGAAAGGCTGAGGGGAGCAAGGTGCTCTTATTTCTTTGGAGTGGAACATTCCACATTAGTGAGCTAGAAGGTTTGGAGTTGGTCAAATCTGATAAGGGAAAGCACTGAAACAAACACACACACAAACCCAACGAGACAGTTAAGAAACAAACAACAAAACAGTTAAGGAAAACTAACAATGATCACACAAATTATATGATTTCTGAGTGCTCTAAGTGTAAGCAGAAATTAAAACCAGCTGCTTGTTAATGCTAACCTTAGTTGTTTAAAAAGAATTTGCAAGACAGAATCCCAAACCAGTTTCTTACCTTGTGATGGGTCTCAGGCTGTAGACTTCACTCTCCCATCCTAGCAGCAGGGAAAAATAAAACTCCTCTTCCCTGCTGGCAGCGAGCTCAAACTCCACAAAGGGGTTACCTGCTTTCCATCGTCATGGAAGTAGGAAGACATGCCTTCCTTGTTGGAAGCAAGTAAAACTCAAAAAAAAAAAAGAAGTTGTACAGCAAAATAAACTTTAGATCTTGACCAAATTTTGAAAGGTCAGGGATTCACTGAGGAGGTGCTCACAGGCCTCAGCAAGTTGTCCCATTGGTTTGAGCCATAAAGTTAGCTGATGCGGGTACCAAGCACCCACAGGAGATTTGTCACAGGCCAGGGGCATCTTCACTCAGAATCCCCCTGTGGTTACCAAAATGTGAACCCCCAAAATCTGAGACAGGTCTCAGTTAATTTAGCAAGTTTATTTTGCCAAGGTCAAGGATGCACGCCTGTGACGCAGCTTCAGGAAGTCCTGACGACACGTGCCAAGGTGTTCGGGAACAGCTTAGTTTTATACATTTTAGGGAGACACAAGACATCAATCAATATATGTAAGAATTACATTGGTTCAGTCTGGAAAGGCGGGACAACTTAAAACAAAGGCTGGAAGACTGGAAGCGGGGAGGGGGCTTCCAGGTCACAGGTAGGTGAGAGATAATGAACGGTTGCATTCTTTTGAGTTTCTGATTAGCTTTTCCAAAGGAGGCAATCAGATATGCATCTATCTCAGTGAGCATAGGAATAACTTTGAATAGAATGGGAGACAGATTTGCTCTGAGCAGTTCCCAGCATGAAAGGGCCTAGGATATTTTCCTTTCACAATCTGTATGTGACTCATTACAAGCTGTAATTTGCAGTCAGGGTTACAGGACTATGAAAGTCAGGCTGCCATCTGCACCCTTTGTGTATGGAGTTTTTTTTCCATGTGGTGAGAAAAAACTATTGCCACCTCTGGGATAACAATTCTATACCACTCGGATCCAAGGGAAAAATAAATCACTTTATAGCTCACTTTGGAAAAAACTCTCAGGAAAAATCTTTGATGGTCACGTCTGAAGGCATATGCAAACAATATTAAGATTTTTTAAAAAATTTGTTATGTCTCTTTCTCTACTTTTAAGTTTTAGTCAAAATTTTAAAAATTGAAAGTATTTTACTAGAAATATTTATCAAGAAAAATGTAGATGCAAAATGATCAAGTTTGTGATTTCTGGAACTATCTAAGCATTGCAGTTATGAGAAAAAGAATCACAAAGGAAAATGCAGATAATGTTTCTAAACCTTTAAAATTAACAATAAAAGACCAGAAACAAAATTAAATGCAATTACAAACATAAGAATATAGAGAAAAGGATAATGTTCTTACACATTAAGAAGAAAAACATGAATTATCCAAAATAATATAGATAAAATCTTTTTAAAAAAACATCCAAAAAGGAAATACAAAGAGCCAAGAATCATGTGGAAGAACGTGGAGAAATAATCAGCATCATAAACATAAAAATAGTTTTCTGTTGTAATCATGGCACTTAAGTATTGGCGTAGGAACAGAGCAACAGACAGAATACAGAGAAACAAACAGAATAAAGTCATAAATAGACCCACACATATATGGTCTTAACCTTAAATTTTCACTTCTCTGGATTAGGCCAAGAATTTTTAGATAGCTCACAAAAGGCATACATGAAAAAAATGTAAGTTTGCACTTTATCAACATATTGTATTATTAATTCCATTATTTGATGTCTGTTTCTCCTGTTTTCTCCTGCAAAAATCCTCATCAAATGTATGTTGACAGCTTGTATACATCTTAACTTTGTCTCTCAATTCCTCAGCCCCGCTTTCCTTTCTTGTGTAATTTATTTGCCCATTACATTTTCTTATATACCTAAGCATATTTCTGAGAATATTAAATACATGTACCTTAATGTCACTTTCTGTTTTTAATAATTTTTTGTGTAAATTCTTCCATGTGATGGTTTTCATTTTTCTTTTATTCTGCTGTTTAGTTCAAACATTTGTTGACTATTCCTTGGTTTTTACCATCTGCAGCAGAATTGATTCTGTTCTCCATGGGGCCAAAGTAGCAGAATGCCTACAGGTCCTTGGTGGCTTCCCTTGTGTTACAAGCAGGTTTGTGCCTTAACCTTAAATTAGCATTTGCCAGCAGCTCAGTCGAGCTGGAAGAGAGGGCTGAACTTCCAGATGTTGGAATAGTTCAGAAAAGCAAAAATGAGTCAGGAATGAAAGAGGAAAATAAACACAGCTCGTATTTTAGGAAATGTCAACAAATTACCTCATCCATTAAGATAATTTCCCATTTGTTCTTTTATTTTTTATAAAGGCTCTGTCCTCATTAACTTATTTTGAACAGTTTTAACATTTCTATTGACTTGGTGCATTTGAATGTGCATAAACACATGTCTCAAAGTTTATAGACTATGTCCATGTGCACTGCTTACTATAGTTATATCTGCTGAGTGGGAAGAATAAGATGATGTTTCCCAATTGCTTGTTCAGACACTTTAACATTATTTGTATGCTTTTCAATTTTGATGTTAATATTATACTTTTTAAAAAGGTATAAGAACCATCAGCAAGGTAAAATTCTGCTGGGAAGTAAACTAAGATTGTGATTTTTCTTATTTACTTTTTATTTAGCAAAATACAATAGCCCATTAGTAACCTTGATGACAGTGGTCTTAGTGATTAAGTTTAGTAACCTCCGAGAAAACTTTAAAAAAAATTGTTAGGGAGTTAAGTCTGGTTTTTTAATTCAAACTATTTTAACGTTGATTAAAACAATTTTCAAGAAAAGATGGATTCCTAAACCTGCAAAATTTTAAGGTGCTTAATAAAAAGACATGGTTGCCTCACATATCTTATGCTTCTCTTAGAAAGTACATACTAATATATAAAGACAATTTCTGACAAGAAATAATATGTTAAACATTAACCACATTTAATATTCAATTTTTAGATTTAACATTAAAATTTATCAGATATAAAAGTATTTTATGAAGCTTTAATTGTGTACATATATTCTTTTTGATATATACATATTTTTTAATTTTAACTTTTGTTTTAGATGTGGGGGTACATGTATAGTTTTGTTACATGGGAATATTGTGTAATGCTGAGGTTTAGGGTA
Source organism: Homo sapiens (assembly GCF_000001405.40). Lineage (NCBI taxonomy): Eukaryota > Metazoa > Chordata > Mammalia > Primates > Hominidae > Homo > Homo sapiens. The sequence continues at coordinate 160,880,622 of NC_000006.12, read as the reverse complement.
CATATCCTGATATGGTTTGGCTCTGTGTTCCCAACCAAATCTCATCTCAATTGTAATCCCCACATGTGGAGGGAGGGATCTGGTGGGAGGTGATTGGATCATGGGGGTGTATTCCCCCATGCTGTTCTCGTTATAGTGAGTGAGTTCTCATGAGTTATGATGGTTTAAAAGTGTGTGGCTTCCTTCACTTTCAATCTCTCTCTCTCTCTCTCCTGCCACCTTGTGAAGAAGGTGCTTGTTTCCCCTTCACCTTCCACCATGATTCTACATTTCCTGAGGCCTCCCCAGCACTGTGGAACTGTAAGTCAATTAGACCTCTTTTCTTTATAAATTATCCAGTGTCAGGTAGTTCTTTTTAACAGTGTGAAAATGGACTAACACAGATCCCACCACTCACATAGTGAGCATAGTATCAGATAGGTGTTTTTCAACCCATGACCCACTCCCGCTTTCTCTGTTTAGTGTTCTACAGTGTCTATTATTCTCATATTAATGTCCACATATGCTCAATGTTTAGTTCCCACTTATAAGTGAGCACATGTAGTATTTGGTTTTTCTATTCCTAAGTTAATTTACTTAGGATTATGGCCCACAACTATATCCATGTTGCTGCAAAGGACGTGGTTTCATTTTTGTTATGGCTGTATATTATTCCATAGTATTTATGTACCCCATTTTCTTTATCCAATCTATGCTGCTGGGCACATAGGTTGACTTCATGTCTTAGCTATTGTGAATAGTGCAGCGATGAACATATGAGTATATGTGTCTTTTTGGTAGAATGATTTATTTTCCTTTGGGTACGTACCCAGTAGTGAGATTGCTGGGTCAAATAGTAGGTGTCTTTAAGTTCCTTGTGAAATCTCCAGACTGCTTTCCACAGTGGCCGGACTATTTTGCATTCTCATCAACAGTATATAGTATTTCCTTTTCTCTGAAGCATCAACAGCATCCATTATTTCTTGACTTTTTAGTAATAGCCATTCTGACTGATGTGAGATGGTATATCATTGCTGTATTTGCATTTCTCTGATGATTAGTAATGATGAGCATTTTTTCATATGCTCAATGGCTGCTTGTATATCTTCTTTTGAGAAGTGTCTGTTTCTGTGATTTGCACATTTTTAATAGGGTAAATGCTTTTTGCTTGTTGATTTGTTTAAATTCTCTATAGATGCTTGTATTAGCCCATTCTCACACTGCTATAAATAACTACCTGAGACTGGATAATTTATAAAGAAAAGAGGTTTAATTGACTCACAGTTCTGCATTGCTGGGGAGGCTTTAGGAAATTTACAACCATGGTGGAAGTTGAAGGGGAAGTAAGCACCTTCTTCACAAAGTGGCAGGAGAGAGGGAGAGAGAGAAAGAGAGAGAGAGACTGAGACAGAGAGAGAACACAAAGAAAGCCACACCCCCTTTTTTTTTTGAGATGGAGTCTTGCTCTGTCACCCAGGCTGAAGTGCAGTGGTGCGATCTTGGCTCACTGCGACCTCTGCCTCCTGGGTTCAATCAATTCTCCCACCTCAGCTGCCTGAGTAGCTGGAATTACAGGCACCTGCCATCACACCTGGCTAATTTTTGTATTTATGAAGAGACAGGGTTTCACCATGTTGGGAGGCTGGTCTTGAACTCCTGACCTCAGGTGATCTGCTTGCCTTGGCCTCCCAAACTGCTGGGATTACAGGCATGTTGTAAGTCACTGCACCTGACCAGCCACACACTTCTAAACTATCGTATCTCGTGAGAACTCACTCACTATCACAAGAACAGACATGGGGAGACCTGTGATCCAATCACCTCCCAACAAGTCCTTCCCTCAACATATGGGGATTACAAGATATAGGTGGGGACACAGAGCTAAACCATATCAATGCTGGATATTAGACTTTTGTTGAATGGATGGTTTGTGAATAACTTCTGCTATTCTGCAGGTTGTTTCTTTGCTTTGTTATAAGTTTCTTTTGCTATGCAGAAGCTCTTTAGTTTAAGTCCCATGTGTCTACTTTTGGTTTTTTCTTTTGTGTTGACTTTAGTGCATCTGATGACCATGTGCCCTGGGGATGGTTGTCTTTTGCAGTGTCTGGCTAGGGTCCTCTATATTTCTTGGATTTGCAGGTCAATCTCTCTAGTGAGATTAGGGAAATTTTCATGGACTATGTCCTCAAATATATTTTCCAAGTTGCTTATTATTTCTCTTTCTCTCTCGAGAATGCCAATAAGTCATAGATTTGGTCTCTTTGCATAATTGCGTATTTCTCAGATGTTTTGTTCATTTTTCTATACTCTTTTCTCTTTATTTTTGCCTCACTGAGTTGACTCAATTAGCTGTCTTCAAGCCCTGAGGTTCTTTTCTCTGCTTGGTCTATTCTGCTGTTAATACTTCTGATTGTCTTTTGAAATTCTCGTAGTGAATTTTTCAGCTCAAGAAGTTCAGTTTGGGTCTTTCTTAAAATGGCTTCTTAGTCTTTCAACTCTTGAATCATTTTACTGAATTGCTTTGCTTCCTTGGATTGAGTTTCAACTTTCTCCTTGTCTTGATAAGCTTCCTAGCCGTCCAGATTCTGAATTCCATGTCTGTCATTTCAGACATTTCAGACTGATTAACCACTGCTGGAGACCCAGTGGGCCTGTTTGGAGGTAAGGGGACACTCTGGCTTTTTGAATTGCCAGAGTTCTTATGCTAATTTTTTCCCATCTGAGAAGGCTGGTGTTAACTGTGATGGAAATCTAGTATAGTCAGTTGGCTTTGTTTCTGGAAGGTTTCAGAGGGCTAAGACTCTGTACAGGGTCTTTGTTGTTGAATTCTTGCCCTTGGTTTATCAGCAGGGAGAATTAGCGGAGTGACTTGTTGTTGTTTTTGGTAGTTTGGGCTGCAATCCGGTAGATAGTGCTTGACAGCAATGGTTGGTAGACAGGCTGTTATTTGCAGTATGACTCCTTTGCATATCCTTGGATTTGCAGCTATGCTCTGTGGTGCAAGGGGGAGACAGGTGACCCCCTCACCAGGTGCACTCCTGGAGTCTGGGGAAGCTGCCTCTGATCACTGGCACTTTGCCAGCCATTCCATTTATTTATTTATTTATTTATTTATTTATTTATTTATTTATTTTTAATTTGATGTTTCAGCCTCAGGGCTCCCTTGGACAGAAGTCCAGTATGAAAATAGGGCACATCCTTACTGGACCTGTCCTGTGGAGGTAAGCACATCTAGGTCCTAGGCCAACCTGTGAACCTCTGCAATTCACCCTTCTCAGTTTTCTGAGAGTGTGGGGTCCTCCCCGACTTGAGTGCAGGGCACAGATCCTGGCTAGGTAATCCTGAGCCATGGGCCAGGGCTCTGGGGTACCAGGACCTGCTTGCAGCTCCCTCCTCCAGACCGTTGGGACTGAGTCCCAGGTGTGCTGTCGGATTCGAAGGGCTCCCAGGCTTCCAGAATGCACTTAGGTGGCGCAAAGCACCCAGAGTGGGCAGTGGAGTTATGTTGTGTACAGGCTTCTGCAGGGTGGCCAGGGAGGAGCCCTACCTAGGAGGGGCTGGCAGGCAGGTGGCCTGTGGGACAGATGTGCCCCAGTCCCACAGGGAAGGTGGCTCTGCTTTCTCCCCAGTGGTTAGCTAGGGCCAGAGCCTTCAAAGGGAGATAGGCAGCCCTTGGTGGGTTAGGCTCTGCCAAAGCTGTCCCTAGCACAATGTTTCCTGGCACCAAGCTTGCAGCAGCTCTGTCTCTGTCTAATCTCTGAAGACATCCACCAAGCAGCTCAAATGTCCGTGGCAGGCGTGAGGTCTCCAGTCTCCAAATCCTTTCACTTACCCCTTCCTCAGACACCATTTGGGGCCAGGAAGCAGCCCCAGCATTCAGTTACCCAACGCGGAGTTTCCAGCTTCCTTCCTCTTTAGCCTCAGTGCCTGCATCTTCTCTACATCCACATTCGACATCTTCTTTACAAAGATCTGTTCAAATTATGTTGATTTAGTCAAAATCTCAGCCTTTCTCCATGGGAGAAGCACTTCCCAGCTGCATTGAGTTGGCCATCTTAAGACCCAGTTGATGTATAATTTTTAAATATTTAATAGAAACTTTAAAATATTTGTAAAATTAATCTTACATTATCGTACTGCTCATTCTGAATTGTCAGCTTCCATGAGTTTAATCATTAACTTAACTGTCTGAACTATGTATTTTTCAAATGAAAACAAATGACATAATTATTTGGAATAATTTTTATAAAGGTGGACAACACGATGTTTCTGTAGTATTATTAAACTACTAATATTTGGGCAGCACTTAGCAAGTTAGGTAACTGACTTGATAATTTGCAAAACTAATCTCATTGACTCTTCTTCTAGTCCAGATATTATTTTCTCTGATAAACAACCATTGTTTGTAAAATCACCGTCAAGGAAAGATTAAAATAGTTCGATTTAATGAATTAAAAGAAATGGAAGTTTTGTTTATTAAGAGGAAGAGTTCAGAGATCTGAGCTCGATACAATATGAGTATACATCTTAAATGAAATAAAGGGAATAATGGGAAAGGAAGAAATCAAATGATATCTCAATATTTTTCATCAAGGAAAATATAGGAAAAAACATTTGCCTATATTTTCTTAAGGGCAAAATGTAAACATCTAATTAAAGTAAAGATGTAAAGGACAGGCAATACAGCTTTATTAACATACAGCTGATTTTCATTGATTGTCCAACATCCTTGATGAACATTAGATTTTATCATCCACCATCTCCTCAGGGTCCAGCTGGGAGGTGGTGGGTTTTGACAGTTGACAAACACAGCTGAGCTTTATCTATTATTCACAGTTTTCTATATGAATTTCTGTGAATAAAGTTTTCTATTAGTAAGTTTTTAATAGTAAAATTGAGAATGTTTTTCTTATTGCCATTATTTTATTCTTTTCTTTTTATACAATTACATTATGTTACAGCATCTTTTTTTGTTTTTTGTTTTTTGTTTTGAGACAGAGTCTCGCTCTGTCGCTTAGGCTGGAGTGTAGTGGTGCGATCTCGGTTCACTGCAAGCTCCGCCTCCTGGGTTCACGTCATTCTCCCGCCTCAGCCTCCCGAGTAGCTGGGACTACAGGTGCCCACCACCACGCCCAGCTAATTTTTTGTATTTTTAGTAGAGACGGGGTTTCACCGTGTTAGCCAGGATGGTCTCAATCTCCTGACCTCGTGATCAGCCTGCCTCGGCCTCCCAAAGTGCTGGGATTACAGGCATGAGCCACCGCGCCCGATCTACAGCATCTTTTAATACTGTCAACCTATAGAAGATAGTCAGAATTTTGTTGTATTTCCTTACAAGTTCTACTGACTTAGAACTCCACTTTTTATGACTTGCATATAGATATCATTTACCATCTTCCATTGATCAATGTATTGATCTGTATACTGGTATGACAACATTTTCATAATTTTAACTTCAAAACATACCTTCATATCTGATAAGGCAATTAACAACTAACGCTGTGTCAGTTAAGGCACAACCAGAGAGGAAGAACCAAGAGATATGTATATATATTAAGATATTTATTTCAAGGAATTGGTTAATGTGATTATGCAGGTTAGGTAAGCAGGTTTAAAACATATAAAACAAACCTTTAGGAAGAGCAGGCTGGCAATCTTGAGCTGTTATTCATGAGGAGAACAACTTCATCAGGAATCCCAGGCTGTGTTCTTAAAGCCTTTCAACTAATTGAATCAGGCCCACTCAGATTATCTAGAATTGCTTATCTGGGATAATCTCCCTAATGTAAAGTGAATTGATTATGTACTTTCACCTCCTCAAAAAAATGCTTTTACCTCATTGAATACATTAATGTTTAATGAATGACTGGGGACTGTAGTTTAAACAAGTTGGCATAAGGAAACATAATCACAACTCTCATTACTTTTCTTTTTCAATACTATTTACTAGCTGCTGCCTTACTCCAAATAAATACCAAAGTTGCTGAAATATAATAATATAAAAGTTATAAAAATAATTCGTGTTTATTATTGTTCAAAATTGCAATATCTTTTGCATAAGACACAGAATATAGTCACTATAAAATGCAAGACACTTTAAGCAAATAGAAATTGAATGACAGTTATTATAGTGAAAGCAAGTTAAAATCATTTTGTTTCTAAATTAATTCCGAAAGTGTTTGTAAGTTTGTCTGCCAAATTGCAGGTCAAAAAATTTCAATAGAATTGCCTGTTCATCAACACTCTTTTGGAAAGCTTCTAATGTATCAACTATCTCTTGAGTACAAAACAGTGTGACAATATAAAACATTTTACACCTAAAATGTATCAGTTAATTACATATTAAGAATTCCTATCAGGTACTAATCTTTTTTTAAATTAGGAAATATAGTAGATTATCATCAATCTTTTGAAGAAGAGAAGCACTGCTGATTATTGTATAAATTAATGGAACTGCAGATTGTTTTATATATATGTATATATATATGATGTTTTATATGCATGTGTGTATATAAAACAATGCCAAATTATCTCTTGGTATTCACGGGACATTGGTTTCAGGAGTCCCATGGATATCAAAAATCTGTGGATGCTCAAGCCCTTTATAGAATATGGCATAGTATTTGCGTATATCCTACACACATCCTCCTGTATGTGTTAAGTTATCTCTAGGTTACTTATAATACCTAATGTAATTTAAATGTGATGTAAATAGTTGTTATACTGTATTATTTAGGAAATAATGACAAGAAAAAAATCTGTACATGGTCAGTACAGATGCAACCATTCCAACCATTCATTTGGTTAAAAAATATTTTTGATCTGTGGTTTGCTGAATCCATGGATGTGGAACCCAAAGATATGGAAGGATGATTACAGATGTTCAACTATGTGTGTGTGTGTGTGTGTGTGTGTGCACTGTGTGTAAGTATGTGTGTATGTGTTGTAGGTTAATTTTTTATTATATATATCGTTATATACACGCACACCATTGTTGATTTGTCTTACATTTTAATAATGGGATTTCAAATAATATTAATTTTAATGTGGACATATCATAAGTGTTTAATTAATGGGATTTAAAATTCTGATATCCAAGGCTCAGAGCTACATTTGTTAGGTTGGTTTATTTGCTGTCCTAAATTAATGATTGTGGTTCACACTAAGAATAATCAATTGGTATCTGCTGGTAATAATGACTCCTAGACATATTTTGTTTTGCTGTGTTGCTTGGCTTAGCCCAGCATTTTAGAATGCAGTGTAATTAGGGTCACAATACCAGCATTTTATTGTCATATACACACTACACTTCTCATGTTTTATGATCATTGTATTTCCTCTACCAGCATTTAAGTTTCTGAACTCTTCTCTAAAGGTAAAGCATAATGTTCATTATTAATTAAAAAATAATGGGAAAATAACCACTACATATGCTTTTACTATGCAACAAATAATCTTCTAAATGATTTCATGTGTTAATTAAAACTCTCTAAGTACTATTATTATGTCTGCTTTTAGATGAGGAAGCGGATGCATAGCAAGTTTAAATAGCTTGCAGAAGGACACACAGTTTGCAAGTGAAGGAGCTCAAATTCAAAGACTGGCAGTCTGCATCCAGAGTTGATCATCTTAAATACCATGCTGAACCGGTTGCTCTCAAAGTCTAAACAGTATTTTTTACAATAAGATATCCTTTTGTAGGTCAACGAATAGTTTCTAATTCTTTTTAAAATAAAATACAATGAACTGAATACAATTTAATGCATCAGAGTAAATTTTACATAGCAAAGTATGTATTATTTTCTTTCAGCTATGCAATTCCACTAGTATGAGGTATCTACTGTAGTGAAACTCACAGAAACAGAAAGTAAAATAGGGGGCTGGGGGAAGTGGGGCAGGGGAGGGAAATAAGAAGGTTTGATTTTGCAGGATGAAAATATTCTGAAGATTGGTTAAACAACAATGTGAGGATACTTAATACAATTGAACTATACAATTAAAAAGGTTAAGATGGTAATTTTTACGTTATTTTTGTATTTTATCAAAGCTAAACATTAAAAAAGTTAGTAAAATTAGATAACTAGGAATTCTATTATACTTCTCAAATAAATCATATTCTCTGTAAAAAAAAAAAAAAAAAAAGAAAAGAAGAAAGTAATTGAGAACAGTTCATTTTTTTTATTTGCAGCTCTCCAGTAGTAGCTTTTCATCTCAGGATGAAATACAATAGTTCTTAACAATGGTTTTAAAGGGCCTATTTAGTGTTTAAGTCTCAGTTTTATGTCACTCTCTCTTACCTCATTCTGCTCCAATCACACTGACCTCTATGTTGTTTCCTAATCATCTCAGGTATTTTTCTGGTTCAATGTATTGATACTTGCTCCCCTTTCACCTACCCATATATGATCCCCAAGTTTATTTAAGAGCCCAGAAGGCTAGTGAAAAACAAACAGCAACAATATCAAATTGGGAATCATAAATTGTAGATTATAACAGAAAGCCAACATATTAGTTCTCTGTAAAATGCGAGGCTTTGTATATTGTGTATTTATATTATCCTGGTTGTACCTAGCTGCAAAGGAGATTGGGATAGGCACTTCTTATTCTAAGCAACCATGTGCTACACCAAAAGCTGAAAAAATAAAATAAAAGAATAGATACTGAGTGATAGCTAGCATTCAATACCACAGCCATACAATATTGAAGGTGATGGCTAACCTTTTTTCCCAGTATGTCATGCTTACGAAATTTTTATCTTATATGCCTAATTATCACCTACTACATCCAGAGAGTGGTATATCCTATAAACTCGTATTGGTGAATGTTTAGTTATTTATTAGATTTCTCACACCATACTATCTACTATTTGGGGGGGAAATTTTCCATATTTATTCAGTAAGTTTGTACATTATCTATAAAAATGGATCCATATCTATAACCTTTCAAAAACAATGGCTCTACTATTTGAATAGAATATACATTTAGTTTTAAAGATTGTACTTCCTTGTGCAATCTTTGCAAAATATCCTTCAATATTTGGCTTCATGTTTCTAAGCTGAGTTATTGAACTACTTTCACTTCTTGTATTCACTTTTCACTTCAAAACTGTAAAACAAAATGAGTATTCAGGAGAATACTCATTCCGCAACCTAACAAGACAGGCCAACATTCAAATTCAGAAAATAGAGAGAATACCACTAAGATACTTTTCTAGAAGAGCAACCCCAAGAATATAATTGTCAGATTCTCCAAATTTGAAACAAAAGAAAAAATGTTAAGAGCAGCCAGAGAGAAAAGTCAGGTTACCTTCAAAGGGAAGCCCATCAGACTAACAGTGGATATCTCTGCAGAAACCCTACAAGCCAGAAGAGAGTGAGGGCCAATATTCAACATTCTTAAAGAAAAGAATTTTCAACCCAGAATTCATATCCAGCCAAACTAAGTTTCATAACTGAATAAAATCCTTTACAGAAAAGAAAATGCTGAGGGATTTTGTCACCACCAGGCATGCCTTACAAGTGCTCCTGAAGGAAGCACTAAATATGGAAAGGCAAAACCATTACCAGCCACTGCAAAAACACACCAAAATATAAAGACCAATGACACCATGAAGAAACTGCATCAACTAATGTGCAAAATAACCAGCTAGCATCATCATGGCAGGATCAAATTCACACATAACAATATTAACCTTAAATTTAAATGGGCTAAATGCCCCAATTAAAAGACATAGACTGGCAAACTGGATAAAGAGTCAAGACCCATCGGTGTGCTATATTCAGGAGACCCATCTTACATGCAAAGACACACATAGGCTCAAAAATAAAGAGATGGAGGAATATTTACCAAGCAAATGGAAAGCAAAAAAAAAAGCAGAGTTGCAATCCTAGTCTCTGATAAAACAGACTTTAAACCAACAAAGATCAAAAAAGACAAAGAAGGGCATTATAAATGCAACAATAAGAGCTAACTCTCCTAAATATATATGCACTTAATGCGGGAGCATCCAGTTTTATAAAACAAGTTCTTAGAGACCTACAAAGAGACTTAGACTCCCTGACAATAATAGTGGGAGATTTTAACACTGCATTGTCAATATTTAACACCCCATTGTCAATCAGATCAATGAGACAGAAAATTAACAAGGATATTCAGAACTTGAACTTACCTCTGGACCAAGTGACCTAATAGACATCTACAGAACTCTCCACCCCAAATCAGCAGAATATACATTCTTCTTAGCACCACGTAGCACTTATTCTAAAATTGACCGTATCATTGAAAGTAAAACACTTGGCTGGGCATGGTGGCTCATGCCTGTAATTCCAGCACTTTGGGAGGCTGAGGTGGGCAGATCATGAGGTCAAGAGATTGAGACCATCCTGGGCAACATGGTGAAACCCCTTCTCTACTAAAAATAAAAAAAATTAGCTGGGTGTGGTGGTGCATGCCTGTAGTCCCAGCTACTTGGGAGGCTGAGGCAGGAGAATCGCTTGGCCCGGGAGGTGGAGGTTGCAGTGAGCCGAGATCATGCCACTATACTGCAGCCTGGTGACAGAGCAAGACTGCATCAAAAATAAATAAATAAAAAAAAGTAAAACGCTCTTCAGCAAATGCAAAAGAATGGAAATCATAACCAACAGCCTCTCAGACCACAGTGCAAACACATTAGAATTCAGGATTAAGAAATTCACACAAAACCCCACAACTCCATGGAAACTGAACAACCTGCTCCTGATTGACTACTGCGTAAATAACTAAAGTAAGGCAGAAATAATGAAGTTCTTTGAAACCAATGAGAACAAAGAGACAACGTACCAGAATCTCTGGGACACAGCTAAAGCAGTGTTTAAAGGGAAATTTATAGCACAAAAATGCCAACATCAGAAAGTGGGAAAAATCTAAAATTGACACCCTAACATCACAATTAAAATAACTAGAGAAACAAGAGCAAACAAATTCAAAAGCTAGCAGAAGACAAGAAATAACTAAGATCAGAATAGAACTGAAGGAGATAGAGACATGAAAAACCCTTCAAAAAAATCAATGAATCCAGGAGGTGATTTTTTGAAAAGATTAACAAAATAGATAGACCGCTAGCCAGACTGATGAAGAAAAGAGAGAAGAATCAAATAGACACTATAAAAAGTGATAAAGGGGAGTCACCACTGATCCCACCATCAGAGAATACTGTAAACACCTCTACACAAATAAACTAGAAAATCTAGAAGAAATGGATAAATTCCTGGACACATACACCCTCCCAAGACTAAACCAGTAAGGATTTGAATCCCTGAATAGACCAATAACAAGTTCTGAAATTGAGGCAGTGATTAATAGCCTACCAACCAAAAAAAGCCCAGGACCAGACAGATTCATTGCTGAATTCTACCAGAGATACAAAGAGGAGCTTGTACCTTTCCTTCTCAAACTATTCCAAACAATAGAAAAAGAGGGACTCCTCCCTAATTCATTTTATGAGGCCAGCATCATCCTGATTCCAAAAGCTGGCATAGACACCACAAAAAAAGAAAATTTCAGGCGAATATCCCTGATGAACATTGATGCAAAAATCCTCAATAAGATACTGGCAAACTAAATCCAGTAGCACATCAAAAAGCTGATCCACCATGATCAAGTTGGCTTCATCGCTGGGATACAAGGCTGATTCAACATATGCAAATCAATAAAAGTAATCCATCACATAAACAGAACCAATGACAAAAACCACAGGACTATCTCAATAGATGCAGAAAAGGCCTTCAATGAAATTCAACACCCGTTCATGCTAAAAACTCTCAATAAACTAGGTATTGATGGAACATATCTCAAAATAATAAGAGCTATTTATGACAAACCCATAGCCAATATCATACTGAATGGGCAAAAGCTGGAAGCATTCCCTTTGAAAACTGGCACAAGACAAGGATGCCCTCTCTCACCACTACTATTCAACATAGTATTGGAAGTTCTGGCCAGAGCAATCAGGCAAGAGAATGAAATAAATGGTACTCAAATAGGAAGAGAGGAAGTCAAATTTTCTCTGTTTTCAGATGACATGATTGTATATTTAGAAAACCCCATCATCTCAGCCCAAAAATCCTTAAGCTGATAAACAATTTCAGCAAAGTCTCAGGATACAAAATCAATGTGCAAAAATCACAAGCATTTGTATACACCAATAACAGAGAGGCAGAGAGCCAAATCATGAGTAAACTCCCATTCACAATTGCTACAAAGAAAATAAAATACCTAGTTATACAACTTACAAGGGAAGTGAAGGACCTCTTCAAGGAGAACTACAAACCACTACTCAAAGAAATAAGAGAGGACACAAACAAATGGAAAAAAAATTCCACGCTCATGGATAGGAAGAATCAATATCGTGAAAATGGCCATAGTGCCCAAAGTAATTTATAGATTCAATGCTATTCCCATCAAGCTACCATTGACTTTCTTCATAGAACTAGAAACAACTACTTTAAATTTCATATGGAACCAAAAAAAAAAAAAAAAAAAAAAGAGCCTATATAGCCAAGACAATCCTAAGCAAAAAGAACAAGGCTGGAGGCATCACACTACCTGACTTCAAACTATACTACAAGGCTACAGTAACAAAAATATCATGGTACTGGTACCAAAACAGATATATAGACCAATGGAACAGAACAGAGGCCTCAGAAATAACACCACACATCTACAACCATCTGATCTTTGACACACCTGTCAAAAACAAGCAATGGAGAAAGGATTCTCTTTAATAAATGGTGCTGGGAAAACAGGCTAGCCATATGCAGAAAACAGAAACTGGACCCCTTTCTTACACCTTATACAAAAATTAACTCAAGATGGATTGAAGAGTTAAACGTAAAACCGCAAGCCATAAAAACCCTAGAAGAAAACCTAGGCAATACCATTCAGGACATAGGCATGGGCAAAGACTTCAAGATGAAAACACCAAAAGCAATCGCAACAAAAGCCAAAATTGACAAATGGGATCTAATTAAACTAACGAGCTTCTGCTCAGCAAAAGAAGCTATCATCAGAGTGAACAGACAACCTACAGGATGGGAGAAAATTTTTGCAATCTATTTATCTGACAAAGGGCTAATATCTAGAATCTACAAGAACTTAAACAAATGTACAAGAAAAAAACAAACAACCCCATCAAAAAGTGGGCAAAGGATATGAACAGACACTTCTCAAAAGAAGGCATTTATGCTACCAACAGACATATGAAAAAAAGCTCATCATCCCTGGTCATTAGAGAAATGTAAATCAAAACCACAATGAGATACAATCTCACGCCAGTTAGAATGGCGATCATTAAAAAGTCTGGAAACAACAGATGCTGACAAGGATGCAGAGAAATAGGAATGCTTTTACACTGTTGGTGGGACTGTAAATTAGTTCAACCATTGTGGAAGGCAGTGTGGCAATTCCTCAAGGATCTAGAAGCAGAAATACCATTTGACCCAGCAATGGGTTACTGGGTATATACCCAAAGGATTATAAATCATTCTACTATAAAGACACATGCACACATGCACACAAAGGCCCATTGCCAAGCCTTTCTATGTCTCATAACCCGGGGTTGCATGGAGAACTCAAGCCAAGGATGGGAGGGTGGCCCTGTGCACACCTCCATCCCAGGACAAGGCCCTTCTGCAGAGCAGAGCACATGGGCTGGGATTGCTAGGAGCAGTGGTATGCATGGGGACTTCTGGGGGCACTTAGTAGTCAGTCCTTAATGTTTATTGCAGCACTATTTACAATAGCAAAGACTTGGCACCAACCCAAATGCCCATCAGTGATAGACTGAATAAAGGAAATGTGGCACATATACACCGTGGAATACTATGCAGCCATAAAAAAGAATGAGTTCATGTTCTTTCCAGGGACATGGATGAAGCTGGAAACCATCATCCTCAGCAAACTAACACAGGAACAGAAAACCAAATACCGCATGGTCTCACTCATAAGTTGGAGTTGAACAATGAGAACACATGGACACAGGGAGGGGAACATCACATATGGGGGCCTGTCTAGGGGTGGGGAAATGGGGAGGGAGAGGATTAGGACAAATACCTAATCTGTGCAGGGCTTAAAACCTAGATGACAGGTTGATAGGTGCAGCAAACCACCATGGCACACGTATAGCTATGTAACAAACCTGCCCATTCAGCACACGTATCCCAGAACTTAAAGTAAAATCAATAAATATAAATAATAAAAAACTAGGCACAGTAAGAGGTTAACAATAAAACTAATAATAAAATGGAACAATTATAACAATATACTGTGATAAGAGTTATGTGACTGTGGTCTCTCTCGCTCTTACAGTATCTTATTCTGCTGCACTCACCTATATTCAGACCACAGAAAGCAAAACCATGAATTAGAGGGCATTACTGTGCACGTGTAGAGATTGAAGCACTTTACACAGAACACACTTATGTAACCGGCACCCAGACCAAGTCATGGAACACCAGGAGCACCCGCCGAGACCCTGGGGACCCATCGCCACCACTTCTCCCAAGGCAACAGCTTCCAAAACTGGAGGCTCGGTTTATGTACTTAATTCAATGTGTCTCTGTCTTGATTAACATTTATTATGAAAGTATCATGTTCTTTATAGTCCTTCAAGCAGTACTGAAGTAATGATGGTAATAAAAGTCCATTCTCAATTAATAGTTACTATCGCCCCCAATGAATCAGGTTCTGTACTCCTTGTGGGGTTTTTGGGGAATGCTAACTGGAAAAATATCTAAGGTTTGGCCACCCGGTTGGCAAGATCTTTGGGAGGCACAGAAGACCTCCTGAGTTCCCTTAAGCCATGCTGTTTTTCAGTCTTTCTCCCTCAGCCTCGGTAGAGGGTAAATGGGATTTTTCTTCCAACAACCACCTGGGATGCGAGTCTTGATGCTCACTGGAGGGATAGGATAGGGGTGTCATAAAACAGAGAAAATTCTACGTATGGGTACAGAGTTCTCTTGCACTTTGCCAAAATTATAGATGTAAACATCATAGTGAATCTAACCTCCTGTTGATCCCATCGGGAGGGCACGTAAAATAAGTGTGTCCTGGTGCCAACAGTGGGAAGCCAGGGATAGATTTACACCATAGTAGTGGGCATTTGTGAGGTCCACACAACAGAATGTAGAGAGCCCCCAAGCACGTCGACTGCAGCACAAAGCTGGGGTGGGAGGAGTTGCTGGACCAACACTGTGGTGGGATTCAGGGCTCCTCCAGGTTGGGTCTCTGACCTCAAAGTCCAGCATCTGTGTGGTCAGTCACCAGGAGGTTCAAAGCGCATCTCCAAGCCTTTCTATGTCGGGTAACCAGGAGTCCATGGAGAACTCAAAGCAAGGAGAGAACTGAGCCCCATGTGAAATCAGGGAAATAATCAAAGGGGACAACGGATGGTTTGGGGAAATGTGTTTGCTCCTAGTGCTCACTTTAGAAAAAAATACATGTTTATAAAAAATGCACACTGCATATTTTTCTTGCCGAAGTGCCCTTAGCAATCTCCTCTCATCTTGATAGCTTTGCCCTTCTTCTGCCAGATTCCCAAGCAGAGAGTTAGCATGAAGTCTCGGAGGCACAGGTGTAACATCTCCAGTTGAAGGGACAAATGAAACATGGCTGAGTAAATGCAGGATTTACAAATCACCACACCAGGTGATCTGGGCCCAGGTGCTCTTGCTTGTGCTGGATTGCTTTCATCGGCAGTGCACGAAGCCCAAATAAAATAACCCCACCCATCTACCCTTCCTTGCATGCTCTGGAAGACAGTCCTGGGGGAAGAACCTAATTTCACCTCATTTTTACAAAATTTACCCCCACATGTTCTGGGAGGAAAGCAATAAATAATTAACAATGCATGAACATGTCAAATGGAAAAAGGAAAATGCCTTTCAGATTATGTAATACGAATGACTTTTGTTCTTGGTTTGCGGATTAGGAAATTAGCCATGTTTCCCTGTGTTTGACAGAATTTGGGCAACCTCTTCAGCGGCTCGTTGTGCAGTTTCTATAGAGTTATGTGAAGCAACTGATTGTTCCTGGAAGATGACGGCGATGCCTGCAATCGAATAGATGGCAATAAAGCGTTCAACTGTATCCACTGAGGCAGCGGACATGGGCTGAGGGTAGAGAGTCTATGGCTCTGGGATGCCTGGCAAGGCCTCTCCAGTTCCTGCAGTCCTGAACCGCAGGGGTGGCGGGCACAGGCCGCTAGATTAGGGAGGACATGGCGGGAGCTGGAAGGAGGGGTTCAACTGGGATCTCTGGTGCAAACGTGGATTAAACAAAAAGACACACATTCATTTTTGAAACTCTACTGTTTTTGTGTAGAAATAAAATATGTTAAGATTCCATGCGGGTAAATCGACAGGAGACCCCCGGAAGAACAGGCGCCTCCCTGCCAGGTAGCCCACCCGGCCTGCCTCCTGTGCGCTGGCCTCTGAGGCCTCAGGCGTGGGGACTGGCAGGAGGCCCGCTGGGGCGGAGAGAGAACTCTGGAGCTTGGGGGGAGGAAGGTGTGACGAAGCCTGGGTCCCTGTCCCTAAGGGGTCCTGAGGCTCTGGGCCCCGCCCTGAGTCCATGACTGGCCTCCGCTCTGTGAGGAGAGCAGGCCCTGCATCCTCAGCAACCAGTGCTCCCTCCAGCCTCCGCGCAATTCAGCTGCAGCTGCTGCACAGACCCACAGAAGCCACCCTCCCTCGGAACCAGCGCCCGATGAGAAGGTGGGACCTGCGCTCCTCCACACCAAGCCAGGTGCTGGGGTAAGCGTAGGAGGCGACACGCAGAATGGGAGGGTGGCACCGCCCACGCCTCCGTCCCAGGACCAGCCCCTTCCTGAGAGCACAGGGGCTGGGGTCGCTAGGAGCAGTGAGTATGCATTGGGACCCCCAGGGGCAATTGGTAGTCAGCTCTTCATACTCCTTCAAAGGAAAAGCAGTCCAGGGTTGTATGAAGTCATGTACTTTTCAATCCAACAAGTTGTATGGTGTCCAGTGCCTCCTGCGTGTTGAGGGGCCAGTTATATAAGAGTGCACGAAGTAGACCCAATTCTGAGACTGAAGTTACCAAAGGAGGGGAGTGTAAGTTAAATGCATCCCATAGTGGGTACAGGAAATTCAACTGAATTCAACCAAAACCGATTGAATGGCTGCTGTGTTCTGGGAACTGTGACAGATGGTGGGGTTATGAGACTGAACTGGATCATCTGTGAAACACACATGGCTGTAATTTAGGGGCAAGCATAATTTTTTTCATAGGGCAACTGTGAAATGGTATGGACCCCACAGGGGAAAAAAGAAAATCCCCCCAGTGGGGGAAAGGAAGGGCTTCGAGGAGGAGTGGGCATTTATGTTGGGCTGTCTGTCCTTTAAGCATTCAATGTGCTAACAAGGTAAAATGTGAACAGAAAGAGTGGACTCCCAGTTATTTTTGCAGATTCTGTCTTGGATGGAAGAAAGCACCAAAACTAAGAGCTTTTGGCTAAGGAGGCTGCCGGTCCCTGGGAGTCATTCTCTCCTACTGCATCCTGTTGTCCATCAGTCTTCCAGGAAAACCAGTGGGCCCTGATCTAGAGATCAGGATTCCCGCAGTGACGGAATACATTGTTTTTGCTGACTTCCTTGCTGTGGGACCCCATACACCTGGGAATATCATCAAGGTATGGGAAAGGAGGGCCCTTTCCCCCTTCCTATGCCAAGAGAGTTTGTAGCCAGAGCTGAACCAGACTCGAAGAGTTCATAAAACTCCATAATTATAATAATGACCTACCAATACTTTGACTGTGGCACCTAGAGAATCATGTGGCTCCTGCTCATTAGCATACTCTCTGTGCCCTGATGACATTGACTGGTGTTCTAGCCCTTGAAGAGGGAAGAGCTGTGCTGGCTTCAAAGTGTCTGTCTCTCTGTTGGCTGCATGGTGGAAGATGCTGTATGTATTTCCTTGTTCTAGGTGTATATGCAGTTGGGTTAAATGGTGGCTCAGTACTGAATACTTGGTGTGTATATGCAGTTGGGTTAAATCACCATTTAACCCAACTGCATATACTGAACCATATTCAGGCTGAGTACTGAATGGTGAGTGGTATTTTCCTTCCAGATGAGGACTCTGACCTTAGGAATTTCCAGCAGGTGGCATTTCATAGTAATGGACTCTGACATACACAAATGGGACATTCATCTCCATTGGCTACTCTTGTAGGCTGTGATGTGGCAATGAGTCTGTTTAATCTCCAGGATCCCAGAGTTTACATCCTCTGAGCTGGGTACTGGATCCTTCGCCAGTGTTAGTGAGATTCTGGGCAGGGCTTTCCCTACCAATGGAAACAGGCACAAGGGCCTGCACTGTCTGGGCGTGCACTCCCACCTCCCTTCCTCGACACTGGTTGGGGGAATAGCTCAGATGTGCTCTAGTTTCCTTCTGGCAGCTTCTAAGTGAAGGTCTGACTGCATTCTCCTGGGATGCCCCGTCACCGACTCTTTATATACTAGGTCTCATTGACAAAAGAGCACTTTCAGAGTCTGCAGTTCAAAGGGCCCAACCCTCTCTCTGTGGCCCCAACCTCGTTAAGGACCTGCTCTCAGAACTCCACCCACGGGCTGCACCTGAAACACAGGCTCCCACCTCAGGAAGCTTTTGGCAGTGCAAGGTGGAGATCAAGACCTTGCTGATATAATCAAAGTTTCTTGGTAGTTTACATATTATTAGCAAAATTACACTTTTACCCACTTCAGAGACAATCATGACTCAACAGGCTGAAAACCCTCACTGAGGCCCTGAAGACCCAAATAAATTTTTCAAAATTTTGAGAGAATGTTAAATGACTTCTTTTCAGATAAAGGTTGTAGGCCCTAAGAGGTCTTTTAATTGGGCTGTTACATCTATGCTCAGGTTTAAGGCTGGGTTGGTTAAATTGACAGGTGTCCCAGATTCTGCCCGAAGTAAGTGGCAAATATTTGTTAAATAATTCATAATTCCACGTTATATTTTTGTTGTAATATATTTGTATATTTGTGTGTAGTACATTTGTATCATATTACACACTCCTTTGCCTTTTTAATCTGAGTACTGTGAACCTAATTTAATCTTCTCTAGACTAATTTAAATTATTGATTATAAGCCTTGGCGAAAGCTGGGTCCCTGTCCCTAAGGGGTCCTGATGCTCTGGGCCCCACTCTGAGTCCATGACTGGCCTCCCCTTTGTGAGGAGAGCAGGTCCTGCATCATCAGGCAACCAGCGCTCTCTCCAGCCTCCTGTGCATTTCAGCTGGTGCCGCAACTGCTGCACAGAGACCCACAGAAGCCACCCTCAGAACCAGCGCCTCATGGGAAGGCCGCTGGATGCCTTCAGGGCCTAGCCAGGACCCAGCCTCTGGAATCAAGTGCCCCAGACCACTGTGGTTTTATGTGTTATTTGTATCTTTCATGAATTTTATTATGCTACCAGTCATTCTTGTCTGGTTCTAGCACCATCTCACCAATTCCCACCAGCACATCTGATATATTATAGGCTAGAAGTCAAAATATCCAAAGGCATATTTTATATTATATAAATGATTGCATGTGTATATACATATATATATATACTCAGATGTGATATGCACACATGTGCATGCACGCACGCACACACTGATTTAAGCACTGAGAGTAAATGTGTAGGACTCACTGTATTTGGTAAAATGTCAGGTTTTGTGAGGTTTTGTGATGTTTGTTTTCATTGGGATTAGATATTCCATTGAATTTTGGGTTCAGGGCCAAGAGGGTTAAGTTAGCCGTAAATCTCCTGGCTTCTAACCTAGATAACAGATGTTATAAAAATGGAGTAAGAATTTTAGGCAGAAATGAGCAATGGAATGGGAATCGTGTTTCTATATTTCTTGTACTCAGTATGGTTTTTCAATGGTTGAAATGAAAATAATGTACTGGCTTGGCAAGGTGGATAACGCCTGTAATCCTAGCACTTTGGGAGGCCGAAACAGGTGGATCACCTGAGGTCAGGAGTTTGACACCAGCCTGACTGACATGGTGAAACCCCATCTCTACTAAAAATAGAATAATAATAATAATAATAATTAGCCATGTGATGTGCATCTGTAATCCAAGCTGCTTGGGAGGCTGAGGCAGAAGAATTGCTTGAACTAGGGAGGGGGAGGTTGCAGTGAGCCAAGTGCACCTTTGCACTCCAGCCTGGGGGACAAGATGGAAAATCCATCACACACACAAAAAGAAAACATACAAAATATTTTACTCCATTAATGTAAAGGAAAAGATCTAGACCCCTGGGCCCCTCCCCTGCTGCACTTTGGTATGTTGGTTCATTCATTTATTCCACAAACATGAGGGCGCCATGTCCAGGAACCAGATTAAAAAGACAGCCCTGGCCTCGTATTTCAGCTGACAAGGCAGCCAATGGACATTTCCCAAATCACACAGGCCCCAGGACCAAAAACGACCATGAGGGAGAGCGTTTGGGATGAAGGCTCAGCCAGAGACCTGGGAGGGCAGCACAGGCGTTCCCATGATCCCTTCTGCAGTGCACAACACTGCAGCACGGGCTTGACAGCCCCGACAGGGCAAAGCCTGCAGCTCAGCTCATCATCAGCCAGACCCAGCCACTCCCCCGCTGTGTTGGGAGAACACAGGGAGTGGCTGTTGTGCACCAGTGCCCTTCCTGTTCCTGCACAAGTTCGCTTTCCAAGAGCTACTCAGTACAAATGAGCGTAATTTTCTCTTTATTTTCATTATTTTATTTTATTAACTGACAAACAATAATTGTATATATTCATCGGGTACCTAGTGAAGTTTTGTTATATATAATGTATAGCGATCAGATCAGAGTAATTAGCATATCCATTGTCTCAAATATTTATCATTCCCTGTGGTGGGGATGTTCAATATCCTCCTTCCAGCTATTTGAAACTATTATATATTATACTACTGTTAACCCTGATCACCCTGCAGCGGCATAGAACACTAGGACTTCTTCCTTCTGTGTGGCTGTGACTTTGCGTGCTTTAACAAATATCTCCCTATGCCCCTTCCCCTAACTTCCCAGCCTCTAGTATCCTCTGTTGTGCTTGTTACTTCAATTAGATTCACTGTATTTTTAGCTTCCATATATGAGTAAGAACATGTGGTGTTTAACTTTCTGTTCTTGGCTTGTTTCACTTTACATAATGTTCTCCAGTTCCATCCATGATGCCATGAATGACAGGATTTCATTCTGTTTTATGGCTGAATAGTGTTAACGTGAAGTAAATATGGCCTGAGAAGGGCTCCGTACTTCGGTATTTGAGTCCTCGTGGATGAACCGTAAACCAACTTAACAGGTAGACAAGATTGAAACCCCAAATTAGGAGTCTGCACCTGTAACAATTGCTGAGTCTTGGCCAATCCCAGCAGCTGTACTTCAACTACTCATACACTGCTGAGTGTTCAAACCATGTTCAAATAAGGCAAACACCAACCTGTAACCAATCCAGCTGTTTCTATACCTCACTCCCGATTTCTACATGTCACTTTACTTTTTATGTCTATAAATTTGTTCTGATGATGAGGCACCTCTGGAGTCTCTCTGAATCTGCTGTGATTCTGGGGGCTGTGCGATTCATGAATCATTCGTTGCTCAGCTAAGCTCTTTTAAATTTAATTTGGCTGAAGTATTCCATTGTTAAAATAAAAACCTTAGATAAATTAAATTTAAGAGTTTAACTAAGCAAGAACTATTCATGAATTTGGCAGTCCCCAAACCAGAAAAGGTTCAAAGACCTCACACTGTCTCTGGTTGGTGGGGTGGCAGGGTGGGGGGGGGGGCGGCAAGAATTCATGGAGAGAAAAAGGAAAGTGATACACAGAAAATGGAAGAGAGGTATAGAACCACCTGGTTGTTACAGCACGGTGTTTGCCTTTTTTGAACATGGTTTGAGCAGTTGGCTGCCTGTGATCGGCTGATTAGTAGTGTGCTAATTACTACTTGGTGATTAGTACAAGAGTGGGTTACAGTCTGTTTACCCTCCCATTAGCTAAAAGCTCACTGTGTATGAAGAAACCTTCAGATCCAACTTACAAAGAGGCAGCGTCAGGCTAAATTCAATATAATAGAGTAGGTACCACATTTCCTGTATCCATTTGTCCCTGGATGGACCCCTGGGTAGATTCCATATCTTGGCTATCATGACTGTGCTACAGTAACATGGGGTATGGATGCCTCTTGGATATACGGTTACCTTTCCTTCAAACAGATGCCCAGTGGGGGATGACTGGTGAACCCAGAGAAAAGATGACAGTGAACCCAGAGAGAAGATGACTGTGAACCCAGGGAAAAGATGACAGTGAACCCAAAGAAAAGATGACAGTGCACCCAGAGAAGAGATGATGGTGAACCTAGAAAAAACACAATGGTGAACCCAGTGAAAACATGAACGTGAACCTAGATAAAGGTGACAGTGAACCCAGAGAAAAGGTGACAGTGAACCCAGAGGAGAAAAAATGATAAGGCACCCAGAGAAAAGATGACAGTGAACCCAGAGAAAAAATGACGGTGAACCGAGAGAAAAGACAATGGGGAAACACGAGAAAAGATGATGGTGAACCCAGAGAAAAGACGACAGTGAACCCAGAGAAAAGATGACAGTGAACTCAGAGAAAAGAAGACAGTGAACCCAGAGTACAGGCGACAGTGAACCCAGAGAAAAGAGACAGTGCACCCAGAGAAAAGATGACGGTGAACACAGAAGAAATATGACAGTGAAACCAGAGAAAAGATGACAGAGAATCCAGAGAAAAGATGACGGTGCACCCAGAGAAAATACAAAAATGAACTCAGAGAAGAGATGATGGTGAACCCAGAGAAAAGACAACAATGAATCAAGAGAAAATACAATAGTAAGCCAAGAAAAAAGATGACAGTGCACCCAGAAAAAAGAGGATGGTGAACCCAGAGAAAATTCAAAGTTGAACCCAGAAAATAAAGGACGGTGAACCCAGAGAAAATTCAATGGTGAACCCCCAAAAAGATGACAGTAAAACCAGAGAAAAGACAATGGTGCACCCAGAGAAAATATAAAAGGGGACCCAGAGAAGAGATGACAGTGAATGCAGAGAAAAGATGACAGTGAACCCAGAGAAAAGATGATGGTGGACCCAGAGAAAAGATGATGGTGAACCCAGAGAAAAGATGATGGTGAACCCAGAGAAAAGATGATGGTGAACTCAGAGAAAAGACGAAGGTGAACCCAAACAAAATATAACAGTGAACCCAGAAAAATACAACAGTGAACCCAGAAAAAAGAGACAATGCACCCAGAGAAGAGACAACAGTGAACCCAGAAAAAATACGAAAGCGAACCCAGAGGAAAGACAATGGTGAATCCAAAAAGACGACAGTGAACCCAGAGTAAAAATGATGGTGCACCCAGAGAAAAGACAACAGTGCACTCAGACAAAATACAATAGAGAACCCAGAGAAAAGACGACAGTGAAACCAGGGAAAATACAACAGTGAACCCAGAGATAAGATGACAGTGCACCCACAGAAAAGACGACAATGAATCAAGAGAAAAGATGACAGTGCACCCAGAGAATAGACAACGGTTAACCCAGAGAAAAAAACCACAGTGAACTCAGAGAAAAGACGACCGTGCACCCAAAGAAAAGACGACAGTGAGCCCAGAGAGAAGATGACAGTGAACCCAGATAAAAGATGACAGTGAACCCAAAGAAAAGACGATGGTGGACCCAGGGAAAAAACGAGAGTGAACACAGAAAAAAAACGATGGTGAAGCCAGAGAAAAAATGACAGCACATCAAGAGAAAAGACAATAGTGAACCCAGAGAAAAGATGATGATGCATAAAGATAAAAGACCACAGTGAACCCAGAGAACTGACAACGGTGAACACAAATAATATCCTACATTGAACCCAGAGAAAAGATGACAGTGAACCTGGAGAAAAGAAGACGGTGCACCCAGAGAAAATACAACAGCGAACGCAGAGAAAAGATGACGGTTTACCCCAAGAAAATACAACAGTGCACCAAGAGGAAAGGTGACAGTACACTCAAAGAAAGGAAGGCATTGCATTAAGAGAATATTAGACAGTGAACTCAGAGAAAAGATGTCAGTGAACCCACAGAAAAGATGACGGTGCACCCAGAAAAAATATGACAGTGAACCCAGAGAATTGACAATGGTGAGCCAAGAGAAAATATGAAGGGGCACCCAGAGAAAAGACGATGTTGAACCCAGAAAAAAATATGACAGTGAACCCAAGAAAAGATGACAGTGTACCCAGAGAAAAGACAACAGTGAATCCAGAAAGCATATGATGGTAAACCCAGAGAAAAAATGATGGTGCACCCAGATAATATTCAATAGTGAACCCAAAGAAAAGATGACGGTGAACCCAGAGAAAAGACGACAATGAACCCAGAAAAAAGACTACAGTGAACCCACAGAAAAGACAACAGTGCACCCAGAGAAAATACAATGGTGAAACCAGAGAAAAGAGGACAGTTACTCAGAGAAAATATGACGGTGCACCAAGAGAAAAGATGACAGGGCAACAGAGAAATGATGACAGTGGACCCAGAGAAAAGATGACAGTGGACCCAGAGAAAAGATGACAGTGAACTCGGAGAAAAGACAATGGTGAACCCAGAGAAAAGATGACAGTGAACCCACAGAAAGGACAAAGTTGCACCGAGAGAAAAAATGATGGTGAACTCAGAGAAAAGATGACAGTAAACCCAGAGAAAAGATGATGGTGAACCAAGAGAAAAGATGATAGTGCACCCAGAGAAAAGATGATGGTGTACCCAGAGAAAAGATGATGGTGTACTCAGGGAAAAGACAATGTTGAACCCAGAGAAAAGATGACAGTGAACCAAAAAAAGACAAAGGTGTACCCAGAGAAAAGACGATGGTGCACCCAGAGAAAAGGCAACAGTGAGCCCAGAGAAAAGACAACAATGAACGCAGAGAAAAGATGATGGAGATCCCAGAGAAAAGATGACAGTGAATACAGAGAAAAGACAATGGTGAACCCAGAGAAATGACAACGGTGAACCCGGAGAAAAGATGACACTGAACCCAGAGAAAAGACGACAGTGAAACCAAAGAAAAGATGATGGTGAACCCAGAAAAAAGATGACAGTGAACCCAGAGAAAAGACAGTGAACCCAAAGAAAACATGATGGTGAACCCAGAGAATCAACAACGGTCAACCAGGAGAAAAGATGACAATGCACCCAGAGAAAAGATGACAGTGAACCCAGAGAAAAGATGATGATGGACCCAGAGAAAAGACAACAGTGAACCCAGAGAAAAGACGACGGTGGTCCCAGAGAAAAGATGACAGTGAACAAAGAGAAAAGATGACAGTGAACCCAGAGAACAGACAGTGAAAAAATGATGGTGAACCCAGAGAAAAGACGATGATGAACCCAGAGAAAAGACGATGGTGAACCCTGAGAAAAGACAATGGTGCTTCCAGAGAAAAGACGACAGTCAACCCAGAGAGAGTACGACAGTGAACCCAGAGAAAGGATGACAGTGAACCCAGAGAAAAGAGGACAGTGAATCCAGAGAAAATACAACAATGACCCTGGGGAAAAGACAGCAGTACACCCAGAGAAAAGATGAAAGTGAATCAGAGACAATACAACAGTGAATCCAGAGAAAAAAATGACAGGAGACCCAAAGAAAAGACAACAGTTCACCCAGAGAAAAGACGTCAGTGAATCAAGAGAAAATACAACAGCGAACCCAGAGAAAAAATGACCGTAAACCCAGAGAAGAGATGACAGTGCACCCAGAGAAAAGACAATAATGCACCCAGAGAAAAGATGACAGTGAGCCCAAAAAAGGGCAACGGTGAATCCAGAAGAAAGACAAGAGTGAACACAGAGAAAAGATGATGGTGAAGCCAGAGAAAAGACAACAGTGCATCCAGAGAAAAGAAAACAATGAACCCAGAGAAAAGATGACAGTGAACCCATAGAAAAGATGACAGTGATCACAGACGACGGTGAACCCAGAGAAAAGACCACAGTGAATCCAGAGAAAATACAACAGTGACCCCAGAGAAAAGACAGCAGTGCACCTAGAGAAATGGCGACGGTGCTTCCAGAGAAAAGACGACAGTCAATCCAGAACAAATACGAAAGTAAAACCAGAGAAAAGATGACAGTGAATCCAGAGAAAATATAAGAGTAACCCCGAAGAAAAGACGACAGTACACCCAGAGAAAAGATGACAGTGAATCAAGAGAAAGTACACAGTGAACCCAGAGAAAAGATGACAGGGAATCCAAAGAAAAGACGACAGTGCACCCAGAGAAAAGATAACAGTGAACCCAGAGAAAAGTTGACAGTGAACTCAGAAGAAATGACGGTGCACCCAGAGAAAAGATGACAGGAAACCCAAAGAAAAGATGATGGTGTACCCAGAGAAAAGAAGACAATGAACTCAGAGAAAAGATGACGATGAACCCAGAGAAAAGACGATAGTGTACCCAGAGAAAAGATGATGGTGAACCTAGAGAAAAGACGACAGTGAACACAAAGAAAAGACGACAGTGAACGCAGAGAAAAGATTAGAGTGAACCCAGAGAAAAGACAACAATGAAATCACAGAAAAAAATGGCAGTGCACCCAGAGAAAAGAAGACAGTGAACCCAGAGAAAAGATGGTGGTGAACACAGAAAAAAGATGACAGTGAACCCATAGAAAAGACAACGGTGAACCCAGGAAAAGATGATAGTGCAGCCAGACGATGCACTATCGTGAGAGAGAAGACGGTGAGGAAGCCA
Organism: Homo sapiens; assembly: GCF_000001405.40. NCBI lineage: Eukaryota > Metazoa > Chordata > Mammalia > Primates > Hominidae > Homo > Homo sapiens. Next base: position 160,853,810 of record NC_000006.12, on the reverse strand, counting down.
GGGAAATGACAAAAGTGCATCTAGAGAAAAGGTGACAGTGAACTCAGAGAACAGACAGTGAACCCAGAGAAAAGACAGCAGTGAACCCAGGGAATCAACAACGGTGAACCCAGAGAAAAGACGACGGTGCATCCAGAGAAAAAGGGACCCAGAGAATCGACAATGGTGAACCCAGAGAACATACGACAGTGAACGCAGAGAAAAGACGACGGTGCACCCAGAGAATATACAACAGTGAACCCAGAGAAAAGACTATGGTGAACCCAGAGAAAAGGCGACAGCGAATTCAGAAATAAGACGACAGTGAACCCACAGAACAGTGAACCCAGAGAAAAGATCATGGTGAACCCAGAGAAAATATGACAGTGAACCCAGAGAAAAGATGACAGTGAGCCCAGAGAAAAGACGACGGTGAACCCAGAGAAAAGATGACAGCGCATCCAGAGAAAAAGGGACCCAGAGAATCAACAATGGTGAACCCAGAGAACATACGACAGTGAACCCAGAGAGATGACGAGAGTGAACCCAGAGAAAAGACTACGGTGCACCCAGAGAATATACAACAGTGAACCCAGAGAAAAGACGATGGTGAACCCAGAGAAAAGGTGACAGCGAATTCAGAAATAAGACGACAGTGAACCCACAGAACAGTGAACCCAGAGAAAAGATCACGGTGAACCCAGAGAAAATACGACAGTGAACCCAGAGAAAAGATGACAGTGAGCCCAGAGAAAAGACGACGGTGAACCCAGAGAAAAGATGACAGTGAACCCAGAGAAAAGACGATGGTGAACCCAGAGAAAATACAAAAGTGAACCCAGAAAAGACGACGGTGGACCCAGAGTAAAGACAATGGTGCACCCAAAGAAAAGATGACAGTACACCCAGAGAAAAGACAAGGGTGCACCCAGAGAAAAGATAACAATGAACCCAGAGAAAAGACGACAGTGAACCCAGAGTAAAGACGACAGTGAACCCAGAGAAAAAACGACAGTCAACCCAGAGAAACGACGGTGAACCCAGAGAAAAGAAGAAAGTGAATCCAGAGAAAAGATGACGGTGAACCCAGAGAAAAGATGGCAGTGAACCCAGAGAAATAACGACGGTGCACCTATCTTTTCTCTGGGGTCACTGTTGTATTTTCTCTGTATTCACTGTCATCTTTTCCCTGGGTTCACTGTCGTCTTTTCTCTGGGTGCACCGTCGTCTTTTCTTTGGGTTCACTGTTGTCTTTTCTCTGGGTTCACTGTTGTATATTCTCCGGGTCCACTGTTGTCTTTTCTCTGGGTTCACTGTCGTCTTTTCTCTGGGTGCACCATAGTCTTTTCTCTGGGTTCACTGTTGTATATTCTCCGGGTTCACTGTCGTCTTTTCTCTGGATGCACCGTTGTCTTTTCTCTGGATGCACTATCATCTTTTCTCTGGTTCCACTGTTGTATTTTCTGTGGGTTCACTGTCATCTTTTCTCTGGGTTCACTGTCATCTTTTCTCTGAGTTCACTGTCATCTTTTCTCTCAGTTCACTGTCATCTTTTCTTTGGGTTCATTGTCATCTTTTCTCTGTCTGCACTGTCGTCTTTTCTGTGAGTTCGTTGTCATCTTTTCTCTGAGTCACTATTGTATATTCTCTGAGTACACTGTTGTGTTTTTTCTGGGTGCATCACTGCTTTTTCTGTGTTCACTGTCATCTTTTCTCTGGGGTCACTGTTTCATTTTCTCTGGATTCACTGTTGTGTTTTCTCTGGGTTCACTGTCACCTTTTCTCTGAGTTCATCATTGTCTTTTTTCTAGGTTCACCGTCATCTTTTCATTGGGTTCACTGTTGTGTATTCTCTGGGTACACTGTCGTGTTTTTTCTGGGTGCATCTGTCATCTTACTCTGGGGTCACTGTCATCTTTTCTCTGGGGTCACTGTGGCATTTTCTCTGGATTCGCTGTCATCTTTTCTCTGGGGTCACCGTCATCTTTTCTCTAGGTTCACCGTCATCTTTTCTCTGGTTGCCCCATCGTCTTTTCTCTGAGTTCACTGTCGTCTTTTTTTCTGGATTCACTTTTGTATTTTCTCTGGATTCACTGTCTTCTTTTCTCTGGGTGCACTGCCGTATTTTCTCTGGGTTCATTGTCACCTTTTCTCTGGGTTCACTGTCATCTTTTCTCTGGGTGCACTATCGTGTTTTCTCTGGGTGCACAATCATCTTTTCTCTGGGTTCACTGATTTTTTTTTCTCTGGGTTAACTATTTTATATTCTCTGAGTACACTGTCGTCTTTTTTCTGGGTGCATCGTCGCCTTTTCTCTGTCTTCACTGTCATCTTTTCTCTGGGGTCACTGTTGCATTTTCTCTGGCTTCACTGTTGTCTTTTCTCTGGTTTCACTGTTGTCTTTTCTCTGGGTTCATCGTCATCTTCTCTCGGGGTTCACTGTCGTCTTTCTTCTGGGTTCATCATCGTCTTTTCTCTGGATTCACTGTCAACTTTTCTCTGGGTTCACTGTTGTATTTTCTTTGGGTTCACTGTTGTGTTTTCTCTGAATTCATCATTGTCTTTTCTCTGGGTTCACTGTTGTATTTTCTCTGCTTTCACTGTCATCTTTTTTCTGAGTTCACTGTTGTCTTTACTCTGGGAGCAACATTGTCTTTTCTCTGGGTTCACTGTCATGTTTTCTCTGGGTTCACTGTTGTATTTTCTTCAGGTTCACTGTCATTTTCTCTTTTGGCTTACTGTCACCTTTTCTCTGGGTGCACCATCATCTTTTCTCTGAGTTCACTGTCGTCTTTTCTCTGGGTTCACTGTCATCTTTTCTCTGGGTTCACTCTTGTATTTTCTTAGATTCACTGACATCTTTTCTCTGGCTGCACTGTTGCCATTTTTCTGGGTTCACTGCCGTCTTTTCTGTGGGTTCAGTGTCATCTTTTTTCTGGGTTCACTGTCTTCTTTTCTCTTTGTTCACCATTGTCTTTTCTCTGGGTTCACTGTTGTCGTTTCTCTGGGTGCACTGTTGTCTTTTCACTGGGTTCACTGTGGTATATTTTCGGGTACACTGTCTTGTTTTTTCTGGATGCATTGTCATCTTTTTTCTGTGGTCACTGTTGCATTTTCTCTGGATTCACTGTCATCTTTTCTCTGGGTTCACCATCATATTTTCTCTGGTTTCACTGTCTTCTTTTCTCTGGTTCACCATCATCTTTTCTCTGGTTGCACCGTCGTCTCTTCTCTGGGTTCACTTTCATCTTTTCTCTGGATTCACTGTTGTATTTTCTCTGGATTCATTGTCAACTTTTCTCTGGGTTCACTGTCGTCTTTCCTCCGGGTTCACTGTCATCTTTTCTCTGGGTGCACCTTCGTCCTTTCTCTGGGTTCACTGTCGTCTTTTCTCTTGGTTCACTATCCTATGTTCTCTGGGTCCACTGTCTTTTTTTCTGGTTTCACCATTGTCTTTTCTCTGGGTGCACCATTGTCTTTTCTCTGGGTAAACTGTCGCCTTTCCTTGGTCTCACTGTTGTATTTTTTCTGGTTGCACTGTCATCTTTTCTACGTTCACTGTCGTCTTTACTCTGGGTTCACTATCATCTTTTCTCTGAGTGCACTGTTGTCTTTTCTCTGGGATCACATTCATATTTTCTCTGGGTTCACTGTTGTCTTTTCTCTGCGTTCACTATCGTCTTTCCTCTGGGTTCACTGTTGTATTTTCTCTGGGTTCACTGTCGTCTTTCCTCTGGGTTCACTGTTGTATTTTCTCTGGGTGCACTGTCGTGTTTTCTCTGGGTGCACGATTGTCTTTTCTCTGTGGTCACTGTCAGCTTTTCTCTGGGTTCACTGTTGTATTTTCTCTGGGTTCACTGTCGTCTTTTCTCTGGGTTCATTGTCGTCATTTCTCTGGGCTATCTGTTCTCTAGGTTCACTGTCATCTTTTCTCTGGGTGCAATGTCGTCTTTTCTCTGGGCGTACCATCATCTTTTCTCTGGGTGTACCATCGTCTGTTCTCTGTGTTCACTGTCATATTTTCTGTGTGTTCACTGTTGTTATTTCTCTGGGTTCACTGTCACATTTTCTCTGGATTCATCGTCGTCTTTTCTCTAGGTTCACCGTCATCTTTTTTCTGGGTGCACCATCGTCTTTTCTCTGGTTTCACTGTCGACTTTTCTCTGGGTTCAATGTTGTATTTTCTCTGGGTTCACTGTCACGTTTTCTCTGGGTTCATTTTCATCTTTCTTCTGGGTTTACCGCTGTCTTTTCTCTGGGTTCACTGTTGTATTTTCTCCAGGTTCACTGTCATCCTTTCTTGGGTTCACTGTCGTCTTTTCTCTGGGAGCAATGTCATCTTTCCTCTGGGTTCACTGTTGTGTTTTTTCTAGGTTCACTGTTTATTTTCTGTGGGTTCACTGTCATTTTCTCTCTGGCTTCATGGTCGTCTTTTTTCTGGGTGCACCATCGTCTTTTATCTGGGTTCACTGTCATCTTCTCTCTGGGCTTACTGCTGTATTTTCTTAGATTCACTGGCATCTTTTCTCTGGGTGCACTGTTTTTGTTTCTCTGGGTTTACTGTTGTCTTTTCTCTGGGTGCACCTTTGTCTTTTCTCTGGGTTCACCGTCATTTTTCTCTGAGTTCACTGCTGTATTTTCTCTTGATGCACGGTCACCTTTCATCTGGGTTTACTGTAGTCTTTTCTCTGTGTTCACTGTCGTATTTTCTCTCAATTCACCATTGTCAATTATCTGGATTCACTGTCTTCTCCTCTGGGTGCACTATTGTCTTTCCTCTGGGTTCTTTATTGTTGAAACTCTGGGTCTGCTGTCGTATTTTCTGGGTGTACCATTCTCTATGCTCTAAGTTCACTGTCATCTTTTCTTTAGGTTCACTGTCAATTTATCTTTGGGTTCACTGTGATCTTTTTTCTGGGTTCACTGTCATCTTTTCGTTGGGTTCACTGTTGCATATTCTTTGTGTACACTTTTGGGTTTTTTCTGGATGCATGGTCATCTTTTCTCTGGGTTCACTGTCATATTTTCTTTGGGGTCACTGTCATCTTTTCTCTGAAGTCACTGTTGCATTTTCTCTGGATTCACTGTCATCTTTTCTCTGGGTTCACTGTCATATTTTCTTTGGGGTCACTGTCATCTTTTCTCTGGGTGCACCTTCATCTTTTCTCTGGGTTCACCATCATCTTGTCTCTGGGCTCACTGTTGTATGTTCTCTGGGTCCACTGTAATTTTTTCTCTGGGTTCACTCTTGTATTTTCTCTGGGTTCACTTTCATCTTTTCTCTGGGTTTACTGTCATCTTTTCTCTGGGTGCACCTTTGTCTTTTCTCTGGGTTCACTGTCATTTTTTTCTTTGGGCTCACTGTTGTATTTTCTCTGCGTTCACTGTTGTATTTTCTCTGTGTTCACTGTTGTATTTTCTCTGGGTTCTCCGTTGTCTTTTCTCTCGGTTCACCATCATCTTTTCTCTGGGTGCACCATCTTTTATCTGGCCGGACCATCATTTTTTCTCTGGGTACACTGTCGTCTTTTTTCTGGGTTCACTGCTGTATTTTCTCTGGGTGTATTGTTGCCTTTCATCTGGGTTTACTGTTATCTTTTCTCTGGGTTCACTGTCGTATTTTCTCTGGATTCACCTTTGTCAATTATCTGGATTCACCGTCTTCTCTTCTCTGGGTGCACTGTCATCTTTCCTCCGGGTTCTCCATTGTCGAAACTCTGGGTTCGCTGTCATATTTTCTGGGTGCACCATCTTTTATTCTCTGAGTTCACTGTCATCTTTAGGCTCACTGTCGATTTATGTTTGCATTTACTGTCGTCTTTTCTCTGGGTGCACTGTTGTCTTTTCAATGGTTCACTGTTGTATTTTCTCTGGGTTCACCTTTGTCTTTTCTTTGAGTTAACCATCCTTTTTTCTCTGGGTTCACTGTCATCTTTTCTCTGGGTTCACCATCATGTTTTTTTCTGGGTTCACTGTCATCTTTTCTCTGGGTGCACTGTCGTTTTTTCATTGGGTTCACTGTTGTATATTCTCTGAGTACACTGTCGTGTTTTTTCTGCGTGCATTGTCATTTTTTTCTCCGAGTTCACTGTCATCTTTTCCTTGGGTCACTGTCATCTTTTTTCTGGTGTCACTGTTGCATTTTCTCTGGATTCACTGTCGTCTTTTCTGTGGGTTCATCATTGTCTTTTCTCTGGGTTCACCATTTTCTTTTCTATGGGTTCACTGTCATCTTTTCTCTGGGTTCACTGTCACCTTTTCTCTGGGTTCACTGTCTTCTTTCTCTGGGTTCATTATCATCTTTTCTCTGGGTGCACTGTCATCTTTTCTCTGGGTTCACTGTCGTATTTTCTTTGGGTTCACTGTTGTATTTTCTTTTGTTCACCATCGTCTTATCTCTGAGCTCACTGTCATCTTTTCTCTGGGTTCACTATCTGTTTGCTTGGTTCATCATCGTCTTTTCTCTGGGTTCACTGTCGCCTTTTCTCTGGGTTCACAGTCATATTTTTTCTGGGTTCACGGTCTTATTTTCTCTGGGATCACGGTCTTATTTTCTCTGGGTGTACTATCATCTGTTTTCTGGGTTCACAGTCTCATTTTCTTTGGGTTCACTGTAGTATTTTCTTTTCTTTTTTTTTAAATTTTATTATTATTATACTTTAAATTTTAGGGTACATGTGCACAATGTGCAGGTTTGTTACATATGTATACATGTGCCATGTTGGTGTGCTGCACCCATTAACTAGTCATTTAGCATTAGGTATATCTCCTAATGCTATCCCTCCCCCCTCCCCCCACCCCACAACAGGCCCCGCTGTGTAATGTTCTCCTTCCTGTGTCCATGTGTTCTCATTGTTCAATTCCCACCTATGAGTGAGAACATGCGGTGTTTGGTTTTTTGTCCTTGTGATAGTTTGCTGAGAATGTTGGTTTCCAGTTTCATCCATGTCCCTACAAAGGACATGAACTCATCATTTTTTATGGCTGCATAGTATTCCATGGTGTATATGTGCCACATTTTCTTAATCCAGTCTATCGTTGTTGGACATTTAGGTTGGTTCCAAGTCTTTGCTATTGTGAATAGTGTTGCAATAAACATACGTGTGCATGTGTCTTTATAGCAGCATGATTTATAATCCTTTGGATATATACCCAGTAATGGGATGGCTGGGTCAAATGGTATTTCTAGTTCTAGATCCCTGAGGAATCACCACACTGACTTCCACAATGGTTGAAGTAGTTTACAGTCCCACCAACAGTGTAAAAGTGTTCCTATTTCTCCACATCCTCTCCAGCACCTGTTGTTTCCTGACTTTTTAATGATCTCTGGGTTCACAATTGTATTTTCTCTGGGTTCACCATTGCCTTTTCTCCGGGTTCACTGTCATTTTTTCTTTGTGTTCCCCCTTGTCTTTTCTTTCGGTGCACCATGGTCTTTTCTCAGGGTGCACTGTCATCTTTTCTCTGAATCCAGAGAAAATGCAACAGTGACCGCAGAGAACATATGACAGTGACTCCAGAGAAAAGATGACAATGCATCCAGAGCAAAGACAACAGTGAGCCCAGAGAAAAGACAATGGCACACCTAGAGAAAAGCAGACAGTGGACCCAGAGAAAAGACAACGATCAATCCAGAGAAAAGATGATACTGCACCCAGAAGAAAGACAATGGTGAACCCAGAGAAAAGATGACACTGAACTTAGAGAAAAGATGGTCAATCCAGAGAAAAGATGATAGTGCACCCAGAAAAAGACGATGGTGAACCCAGAGAAAAGATGACATTGAACCCAGAAAAAAGATGACAGTGAATCCAGGGAAAATGCAACAGTGACCCCAGAGAAAATATGACAGTGACCCCAGAAAAAAGATGACAGTGAACCAAGAGAAAAGATGACGATGCACCCAGAAAAAACACTACAGTGTACCAAGAGATTATACAACAGTGAACCCAATGAAAAGATGATGGTGCACCTAGAGAAAAGACGACAGTGAACCCAGAGAAAAGATGTCAGTGAACCCTGAGAAAAGATGACAGTGACCCCAGAGAAAAGAAAATGATTAACCCAGAGAAAAGATGAAGGTGAACCCAGAGAAAATAAAACAGTGAATCCATACAAATGATGACAGTTCACCCAGAGAAAAGGCGACAGTGAACACAGAGATAAATTGACAGTGAACCTAAAGAAAAGATGACAGTGAACTCACAGTTTAAAGGATGGTGCACCCAGAATATATGACAGCGAACCCAAAGTTTCAACAATGGAGAACCCAGAGGAAAGACAACGGTGCACCCAGAGAAGAGAAGATGGTGATCCCAGATAATTGACAATGGTGAATCCAGAGAAAATATGACAGTGAACACCGAGAAAAGATAACAGTAAACCCAGATGAAAGGGGACGATGCACCCCAAGAAAATACAGCAGTAAACCCACATAAAAGGTGACGGAGAGCCCAGAGAAAAGGACAGTGAACCCAGAGAAAAGACAAAGGTGCACCTAGAGAAAAGATGACTGTGAACCCAGAGAAAAGATGACAGTGAACACAGACAGAAAAAGACAGTGAACACAGACAGAAAGACAGTGAACCTGGAGAAAATACAACAGTGAACCCAGAGAAAAGACAACAGTGAAACCAGAAAAAAGACGACAGTGAACCCAGAAAAAATACAACAGTGAACCCAGAGAAAAGAAGAATGTGAACCTAAGGAAAACATGACAGTGAACCCAGAGATAATACAACAGTGAACCCAGAGAAAAGTCAACATTGAAACCAGAGAAATGAAGATGGTGAACCCAGAGAAAAGACGATGGTGCACCCGAGAAAAGATGATGCTGCACCCAGAAAAAAGACGACAGCGAACCTAGAGAAAAGACAATGATGAACCCAGAGAAAAGATGACAGTTAGCCCAGAGAAAAGATGGCAGTGAACACAAAGAAAAGGCGATGATGCACCCAGACAAAACATGACAGTGTACCCAGATAATATACGATAGTGAACACAGAGAAAAAACATCAGTGAACCCAGAGAAAAGACGATGCTGCACCCAGAGAAAACACAACAGTGAACCCAGAGAAAAGATGAAGGTGCACCCAGATGAAAGATAACAGTGAACCCAGAGAAAAGATGACAGTGAACCCAGAGAAAAGATGACAGTGAACCCAGAGAAAAGATAACAGTGAACCCAGAGAAAATACAACAATGAACCCAGAGAAAATACAACAGTGAACCCAGAGGAAAAACGACAGTAAACCCAGAGAATGTATGACAGTGAACCCAGAGAAAAGATAACAGTGAACCCAGAGAAAATACAACAATGAATCCAAAGAAAATACAACAGTGAACCCAGAGGAAAAACGACAGTAAACCCAGAGGAAAAACGACAGTAAACCCAGAGAATCTATGACAGTGAACCCAGAGAAAAGATGATGGTGAACCCAGAGAAAAGACGAAAGGGCACCCTGACCGTGAACCCAAGAAAATACGACAGTGAAGCCAGAGAAAAGACGATGGCAAACCCAGAGAAAATATGACAGTGAACCCAGAGAAAAAACATCAGTGTACCCAGAGAATAGATGACAGTGCACCCAGAAAAAATACAACAGTAAACCCAGAGGAAAGATGACAGTGCATCCAGAGAAAAGACGATGGTGCGCCCAGAATAAAGACGACAGTGAATCCAGAGAAAAGATGACGGTGAACACATACAAAATACAACAGTGATTCCAGAGAAAAGACAAGAGTGAACCCAGAGAAAAGACAACAGTGAACCCAGAGAAAAGACAACGGTTCACCCAGAGAAAAGACAACGGTTCACCCAGAGAAAAGACGATGGTGAACCCAGAAAAAAGATGATGGTGAACCCAGAGAAAGGAAGACAGTGCACCCAGAGTAAAGTTGATGGTAAACCCAGAAAAAAAGACGATGGTGAAATCAGAGAAAACACAACAGTGCACCCACAGAGAATATGACAGTGAACCTAGAGAAAATACGACAGCGAACCCAAAGGCAATAAGACAATGAACCCACCCAGAGGGATGATGACAGTGTACCCAGAGAATAGATGGTGGTGCACCCAGAGAAAAGACCATGGTGAACCCAGAGCAAAGACGACAGTGAACCCAGAGAAAAGATGACAGTGAACCCAGAGAAAAGACGACAGTGAACCTAATGAAAAGACGACTGTGAACCCAGAGCAAACACAACAGTGAACCCAGAGAAAAGGCGACAGTGAACACAGGGAAAAGTTGACAGTGAACACAGAGAAAATACAACAGAAAAACGCAGAGAAAGATGATGGTGCACCCTGAGAGAAGATGACAGTACACCCAGAGAAAAGACGATGATGCACATAGAGAAAAGAAGACAGTGCACCCAGAGAACATACAACAGTAAACCCAGAAAAAAGACCACAGTGAACCCAGAGAATATTCAACAGTGAACCCAGAGAAAAGACGACAGTGCAGCCAATAAAAAGATATCAGTGCACCCAGAGAAAAGACAATGGTGAACCCAGACAAAAGGTGAAACCAGAAAAAAGATGACAGTAAACCCAGAGAAAAGATGACAGTGAACCCAGAGAAAAGATGACAGTACACTCAGACTGAAGATGATGGTAAACCCAGAAAAAAGATGACAGTGAAGTCAGAGAAAATACAACAGTGCACCCACAGAGAATATGACAGTGAACTGAAAGAAAATACGACAGTGAACCCACCCAGAGAGAAAATGATGGTGCATCCAGAGAAATGATGGTGCACCCAGAGAAAAGATGACGATGAACCCAGAGCAAAGACGACCGTGAACCCAGAGAAAAGATGACAGTGAACCTAAAGAAAAGACAACTGTGAACCCAGAGCAAAGACAACGGTGAACCCAGAGAAAAGATGACAGTGAACCCAGGGAAAAGACAATGGTGACCCAGAGAATATACAACTGTGGGGCCAGAGAAAATATGACAGTGAACCCAGAGGAAAAATGACAGTACACCCAGAGAATATACGATAGTGAACACAGAGAATTGACAATGGTGAACCCAGAAAAAAGACGAGGGTGCACACAGAGAATTGACAACGGTGAACCCATAGAACATACAAAGTGAACCCAGAGAAAAGATGATAGTGAACCCAGAGAAAAGACGACAGTGAAAACAGAGAAAAGTTGATGGTGAACCCAGAGAAAAGACAATGCTGAACCAAGAGAAAATACAACAGTGAACCCATAGAAAAGACGACAATGTACCCAGAGAAAAAGACAATGGTGAATGTAGAGAAAATTCGACAGGAACCCAGAGAAAGGATGACAGTGAACCCAGAGAAATGATGATGGCACACCCAAGAAAATATGACAGTGAACCCAGAAAAAAAACCAAAGATGAACCCAGAGAAAAGATGACGGTGCACCCAGAGAATAGACAACAGTGAACTCGGAGAAATTATGACAGTGAACCCAAAGAAAAGACTACAGTGAACCCAGAGAAAAGACGACCTTGCACCCTGAGAAAATACAACAGTGAACCCAGAGAAAAGACGATGGTGAACCCAGAGAAAAGATGACAGTGAACCCAGAGAAAATACAACAGTGAACTCAGAGAACAGTGAACCCAGAGAAAAGACGACGGTGAATCCAGAGAAAAGACAACAGTGAACCCAGAGGAAAGACGACAGTGAATCCAGAGAAAAGATGATGGTGAAACCACAGAAAAGACGACAGTAAACCCAGAGGAAAGATGACAGTGAATCCAGAGGAAAGACGATGGTGAACCCAGAGAAAAGACAACAGTGAACCCAGAGAAAAGACAACAGTGAACCCAGAGAAAAGACAAAAGTGAATCCAGAGAAAAGACGACGGTGAACCCAGAGAAAAGACGATGGTGAACCCAAAGAAGAGATGACAGTGAACCCAAAGAAAAGATGACAGTGAACCCAGATAAAAGACGATGGTCAATGTAGAGAAAATTTGACAGTTAACCCAGAAAAAATATGACCGGAAACCCATAAAAACAACGATGGTGAACTCAGAGAAAAGATGATCATGCACCCAGAGAAAAGATGACAGTGAACTCAGAGGAAAGACAATTTTGCACCCAGAGAAAATACAACAGTGAACCCAGAGTAAAGACAACAGTGAACCCATAGAAAAGACAACAGTGAACCCAGAGAAAAGATGACGATGAACCCCCTAGAAAAGACGATGGTGAACGTAGAGAAAATTTGACAGTGAACCCCGAGAAAAGATTACAGTGAACCCAGAGAAAGGACGATGATGCACCCAGAGAATTTGACAGTGAACCCAGAAAAACGACGGTGAACCCAGAGAAAAGATGACAGTGAACCCAGATTAATGAAGACAGTGCACCCAGAGAAAAGATGACAGTGAACTAGATAACAGACCGTGAACCAAGAGAAAAGATGACAGTGAACCCAGAGAAAAAAATGATGGCACCAAGAGAAAAGATGACGGTGAACCCAGAGAAAAGATGACAGTGAACCCAGAGAAAAGACGATGGCGAACCCAGAGAACAGACATTGAACCCATGGAAAAGACAATGGTGAACCCAGAGAAAATATGACAGTGAACCCATGGAAAAGACAACGGTGAACGTAGAGAAAATTTGACAATAAACTCAGAGACAAGATGACAGTGAACCCAGAGAAATGATGATGGTGCACCCAGAGAATATGACAGTGAACCCAGAAAAACAACGACGGCGAACCCAGAGAAAAGACGACGGTGAACCCAGAGAAAATATGACATTGAGCCTAGAAAAATGATGACAGTTAACCCAGAGAAAAGATGACCTTGCACCCAGAGAAAATACAATAGTGAACCCTGAGAAAAGATGACAGTGAACCAAGAGAAAATACGACAGTGAACCGAAAGAAAAGATGACAGTGAACCCAGAGAAAATACAACAGTGAACCCTGAGAAAAGACGACAATGAACCCAGAGAAAATACGACAGTGAACCCAGAGAAAAGACAACAGTGAACCCAGAGAAAAGATGACGGTGAACCCAGGTAAAAAACGACGGTGAACCCAGAGAAAAGACGACAGTGAACCCTGAGATAAGACGACTGTGAACTCAGAGAAAAGACAACAGTGAACCCACGGAAAAGACAACAGTGAATCCAAAGAAAATGTAACAGTGAACCCAGAGAAAAGACAAAGGTGAACCCAGAGAAAAGATGATGGTTCACCCAGAGGAAAGACGACAGTTAACCCACAGAAAATGCAACAGTGAACCCAGAGAAAAGATGACAGTGAACTTAGAGAAATGTTAATGGTGAACTCTGAGAAAAGACGATGTGGAACCCACAGAAAAGATGATGGTTCACTCAGAGAAAAGGCAACAGTGAACCCAGAGAAAAGACAGTGCACCCTGAGAAAAGACGACAGTGGACCCTGAGAAAAGCCTCAGAAAGCTATCCAGGACAAAATCCATCCTGCAATCAGATGCCCCACAGTTAGTGACATTTCTGACACTGGTGGAAGTTTCTTGTTCATTTGATCTTTGATTTATGCAAAGATCTGGTTGTACCTGGAAGACGGGAAGAGTGGGGACCACAGTTCATAACCATTCTGAGGAAGTTTGCCTTTATTCATTTACTGCTACATCCACACAGCTCACAGCATGACAAAATCTTGTCAATGACCAAGGATGACACTAGGAAGATAATGTAATTTTCAAATGTGGTTTTCCTGAAACCAAGTCAACTATAGCTGATATGTTTCATTTCATTGATTAATGTTTACATGGGAAAAACCAATATTATACTTTACTGAACTTTGTGTAATTGTTCCGATTTTTTGATATCTGTTTGACTTACCATGGGGTTGACATAATGAATTTATTGCACATTGTTCAAAAGGAACCAGGAGGTTTTTGTCAGCACTGTAATGTAAATTCCTTTGCAGATGGTAACTGTAGATGGAAAAACTTTTGCTATAAAATGAAATGCTTCCTTAAATCAGACATTTTGGTCAAGTAGCTTGACTCAGTACAGGTAGGGAGATATTTAAATATAAAATACAATGAAAGAAGCCTAAATATTTAGAATCTTTGTTTAGATCCTGTAAGTAACTAATAATCCATAAGCAATGCAATATTGCTCTATTGGGTCCTTTTGACATTTATTTCATCATATAGCTTTCCATATTGAATAAATTTACAGATTTAATTTATATAACTTGAACCTATGAAGCAATGGATATTTCTGCGGTTTAATGTCTTGTGATACAGAACTCTTGAAAAAATTTATGTTTTATAAAATCAAGCTTTAAGTGAAAAATGAAGAAATAAAGTTAAATGTGTTACTTTTTTAAAAGAAGTTCTAGTGATCTACTGCAGAGCATGCTGACGACAGTCAATAATAATGTATATTTCAAAATTGCTAAAATAACATATTTTCAATGTTTTCTTCACAAAAAAAGATGTCTGTGCAGTAATAAGTTATTTAGCTTGATTCTATCATTCCACAATGAAAACATATATCAAAACTTCACATTGTACCTAATAAATATATACAATTATTGTTGGTTAAAATTTTTTTGAAAGAGGCAAGACTAAGCTGCTGCGAATAGGGATGCAGAGTGAGCGGCACAACGGCAAAGAGCAAGGGTCAGTGTCAGCGTCAAGACAGCGCCCTCTAACCGTGGCTGGGTGCACAGGGAGGCTGCGGGTACAGCTGACAAAGCCTATGATTTTAGCTGGGTGTGGGGGCGTGCCCGTAATCCCAGCTACTGGGGAGGCTAAGGCAGGAGCATCATTTGAACCTGGGAGGTGGAGGTTGCAGTGAGCCGAGATTGCGCCACTGCACTCCAGCCTGGGTGACACAGTGAGAATCTGACCAAAAAAAAAAAAAAAGAAGAAAAAGAAAAAGGCCTATGACTTGACCTGCATGGAGTGAGGAAAAAAAGACAAGAGAGAAAACATGTTCCAGGGGTTTCGACATGAGGCTGGAATGAACACTGTTCATTGCCTGTTTGCATGCATTTATACATTTATACGGTCTCAACCCTGTTCCAGGAAAGATTTAAAGGACACAAGTAAGACTGCAAGCACCAGAAGGATGTTCCAACTTTTCTTTTTTTTTGAGACGCAGTCTCGGTCTGTCACCCAGGCTGGAGTGCACTGGTTCGATCTCAGCTCACTGCAAGCTCCGCCTCCCGGGTTCACGTCATTCTCCTGCCTCAGCCTCCCGAGTAGCTGGGACTACAGGCGCCCGCCACTGCGCCCGGCTACTTTTTTGTATTTTTAGTAGAGACGGGGTTTCACCGTGGTCTCAATCTCCTGACCTGGTGATCCGCCCGCCTCGGCCTCCCAAAATGAAGGCTGTTCCAATTTTAAATGTCAGTTCAGCTCCTACTTTATGGGGTTTGGCAAATCGAGTTAAGGGCTTTTTCCACAAATGCTCAGACATTCCAGCGAGACTGAATCAAGCAACTGGAATCACCTGAAAACGAGAGACCAGATTCTATCCTCCCTCCATTTTTTGAAATATTCACTTCTTTATCACCAGCTGGGCTTCAATGACTCTTCAGGTGTAAAGGTCAACCTCGTAGAAATGGGAAAGCCTGTGTTGTTAGGAAGGATGGTTTTATGTGAGCATCTGAAGTTTTAGGGCAAGAATAGCCTCGGACCATCTGTAAGAAAAAGCTGCCACATCTGGGCAGTACTCTCCTAGGGTGAAACGTGCGCAGATTAAACTGAAGCAATAATGAGCTCAAGTAGAGTCTCAAACGAGACAGGAAGCTTATATGCACGGCATGTGCCTTCGGTGCCCGGGCTATGGAGGAAAGAACACAGACAGTCTTCCTGAGGTGGGGCAGACAAAACTGCTGAAAGTGAAGGAGAATTAAGGCGCTACACGGTGGTCATTCAAAAAGCCTCAGACTTCCCCTCCTAAGAAGATGGAACAGGTGTGCAGTTTCCTCCTTCCCGCAGGTGCAACTGGAAACCTCGGGCAGTGCCCATCAAACAAACTCAGGAAGACGAGAGGCGGAGAGAGGAAGCCCGGGGGAGCCGGGCGACCCTGGGGACCCTGAGAACGATAGGGTGGGGCGTTCCTGGGTTTTCTTTTTGCCTCTTCCACCCCAAACTGGGTGCTTACGAGGACGCAGAGGAAGACAGCCCCTGCTACTGTCTCCAGCCAGAGCACTGGGAGAGGCGCGGCTCCAGGAAACATTTCAAGGACTCTGGGAAAATGGGTGGAGATCTCTGAATCTGAAAAATCTTCAGGAGACTGGAAGTGTTTTGAAGTTGAAGGTTATGATTCTTTCTCATTTTGTTTCAAAACAGAACCCCCATTTCCCTTAATGTAGGATTCAAGGGCACAAGCGGAGGAGCAAAGGGATGTCACGGTCAGAACCGCCTAGAAGGCAACGGGAAGCAGAAGCGCAGGCCAGCGAGATGCTCTTCAGAGTGACTTAGCTGTGGGCTGCGGAAGGCAACAGAAGGAACTCAGCATCCACTGGCCACATTCTCCTCCCCGGAGCGGAGGACAGAGCCGAGTTTCTTCAGGCAGTGGCTCTAGCCAGCTCTGCCACAGGGAAGGGGCGTGCAGCTGCCACACACCGCAGGTAGCGCTGACACAGACAAGGCCTGTGAACAACACTGTGAATCATCTAGAAATAGCAGATAGCTATAAAACACATTACCCAACAACATGGCACATTTTCCAGGATAGACCGTATGCTACGCTGTGCTACAAAAGAAACTGTAATGTATTTCAAAAAATTGAAATAATGAAAAGGACATCTAACCAAAACTGAATGAGATTAAACATCAAAAACAAGTAACTTGGTAAATTTACAATTATATGGAAGTTAAATAACAGAATCTATATTAAACAATGGATCAAAATGAAATTACAAGAGAAATTGGAAAAGAGTTTGAGATTACCGAAAACGGATACCAAAACTAATGGGATGTGGGTGATGCAGTGCTTGGAAAAAAAATTACAGCTGTAAATACCTCAATAGCCTAAACTTCCACCTCAACACAATGGACAAGAGAGGAAACTAAACCTAAATAAAATAAGTAGAAAGAAGGAAATCATAAAATGAAGAGTAAAATTAATAATACAAAATACAGATAAACAATAAAGACTATCAAAAAAACCAAAACTTCATTTGTTTTAAACGTAACAAAATAAATTTCTGGGAATTTATAAAATGTGTAATGATCCAAAAAAAAAAAAATCACACCAGCCATATTGTTACTTAAGACCGGAAAGATTTGCTAAGTATGGGATGATAATTTCTTAATACCAGGCCCAGACTGTGAAGTGTTCATGAATCCCACCTCTTTTTGAAGCCTCAAATTTATGTCTAAGTCACCAATCCCTACTTGCTACCAGAAATATTATAACAGAATAAAATATATTCATTTGTACATTTATTATTTTGAATATCCTCTAATTGGAAGATATTGTTCAAAACGTTATGACGATGTGACATGATACCTGTCCCCAGGTAGTGTACTATACATAGGTAACATTATATACTCTTCAGAACACATTCCATGGTTGTTCTATTTCATTTAGAAGGTGAACACATTTTTAAAGTACTAAAGTAATTATTTTTTCACTTTCTGAACATACAAGTTGCTTGATTATAGCAATGTGTCTTCTGGCTTTCTTTCTGGAAGTTTTAAATTAAACCTGTTTCCTTTACAGGCTATTTTAGGAAATTCACATTTTCTGTGTAATGTTAAATTTAACCAAAACATAATTTGCAGTTAGAAGCAAAAGTTCTATTTCAAAGTGTAAAATCTAAAAGTCCATAAGAAAATCAGGTATAGTTTCGGAAACTATTTCTATAGAGTCAGGAGGATTGTATAAATAGAGCTTTATGTGAATTTGCCACAAAAATATAGTATAATTTGACCAGGATTTTCTTAAATTATTTCTTATCCAAGAAGTCTAGTAATTATTTATTCTAAGACTATTGTAATTTCTGCCATGATGTCAGTGATTTTATTAACAAGTTGAATAGTTTAGGTTTATTTATTTATTTTTGCTATACTATGCAAACTTTTCTGCCTTCAAGTAAAAGTTTTATGTGCTTACATTTTAACTTCAAAACAAAAAGGATATAGAACTACATATGAAAACACCATATTGAATATATTTTTGGGTTTGGGCCAGTCTTGATACCACTAGATCAAGTGTTTAAATCTTTTTGTCCAAGGCACTTACATGCACTGATATATTTTCACCCTTTATTATGCCTTGGAAAACCAAATAATCTTGCTTCTTAAATCCTGACAGTAAAATGATATAGAAATTGTTCATTTAAGCAATTCTAGAGTACATATCATTGTATTACCCATACGCATACCAAAATTTTTATGATAAACTTCATTAAATGAAGCGATTTTGGATAATAAAGTTTCAACTCTTGTATGGGTTGAAACTTCACTCATCTATACACAATTATCTTTCATATATTTTCCCCAAATAAGTATATTATATATTTAAAATAAAAGTTTGACTATATTATAGCTTCAGGTTTTATGACTTTTCATACTTTAATTTCATATCTCAAACAATAAAATGTTTTTATGCATGTTATGTAATTTTGTACTACCTGAACCAGATTTTTATTTTCATTTATAATTAAATAGTTTTTATAGGTATAATCTTTTTGTATTGCTGTTCAAATTATCTTCCAAGACGTGGAATTTCTTGCAGGCTTTTGTGCAGAATATTTAAAAAGATGACCTTTGTCTTGAGCATAGCTTGTTCAAGTTTAAAATGCATTTGTTGGCAATATTAAAGCAACATTAGTGGAGCATCCACAGTTTATAAGGCATTTGGGTCATAACTTTAGGACTCAGGATAATAAGTAAAGTAATACATTTCATTTTTTCTATTCCTAGAAAATTTTTTCATTAAAAATATAAGTAATAAAAAACTAATAATTATAATATTTTCACATAAGATCATATTTTCAACTTATAGATTTTTACCCAGTAGGCTTCTGCTTTTTACTTTTTATCATATTATTCACTTGTTTCAAATTTAACTATATTTTAAAATTTATATATTTAATAATGCAGTTAGCAATACATTCATAAAGTATTTTAGTCCAATTTAATTTCTCAAAGAAAATTTCTTTACAGAATACTTTCAAATTTTTAATAAAATGTGTAGGCCACTATAATTTTCATCAAAACTGATATTTTATCAACATTGATGTACTTCTCACTGAAAAGCTTTCAATGTGATAGCCATTTATCTTAGTACTGAGTACCAATGTACACATATATATTACCATTTATTTGAATTTATTAATTATGATGACAAAATGCTTGACGTACTAGTACATGGTTAGGTGAAAGGTGATGAGTGCTTTTGTAAATTGGAGAAATTTATTTTAGCTCAGTGCTTTCAGGAGGACTGTTTTGTCTTCTGGGGGCACCTTGGCAATTTCTAGAGTCATTGTCAATATTCAGAATAATTGGCTGGAACAGTTGACATTTAGCATGTGGGTAGTGAATGATGAAAGTTATAAATCTTTCAATGCACAGAATAGTTCAGGCAAAGAAAACGTTTTTCATGGATTGCACAATTTCTAAAAGTTGCAGCATATGTTAATGTGTATATAAAACCTACATATAAATATCTAAGCCTAGATATGAATTTCACATCACATATTGGCATGAAATATTTTTACACAATTTTAATAATCATTGACTATATCAGGAATGAATCTTTTATGTTAAAGAAATAAATATTATTGTTCATTCAGAAATTTCTTAGAATTTCTTAACCATATTGAAAAAAATACATCATCCTACTTCAGTGTCTATTAGGAAACGACTATTATCAGTCCTTATTTATGGCTGCCAAACCACGGTAATTCTGTGTATGGGTGCAAACAGCTAACCACTGCAATGTATCTTCTAGTTCAGTTATTCTTTAATATTTTTGCATAGAAATAGTGCTCTTATAAATTAGTGGCCTTTTATGTTGTTTATATTAGAGTTAGGGAATTATCTTGGTTAATTTTTAATATTAGGTGTGTAGGTAGGATACATTATGAATTCCATTGTATGAAGTAAAGAGTGTGCTACAAAAACCGGAAATGTATTATTAACAGAAAATATTGGTCTGATTGATTTTAGTGTATCTGTTTCAAGAAGCACAAAACTAAGTAGATTATGCACCTTTAAAAGTATAACTTATAGAGGATCAAAACCAAATATTTCAAAATTATAAGAAATAAATCACATCACCAATTCACAAAATAAAGAAATAAAACACAATTCACATTTCAAAACAGAAAACAAAAATATTATAAACACATAAAAGATATATTGGTTACTAACATCTATGAAATTACCTTAAAAATCAAACTAAAACAGACCAATTCTCGGTTGTTTAAGAGGTTCATTATAACAATCTGACTTAGAAGAATTAGAAAATATATAATAGAAAAACTTACTGGAGAGATCACGATGAGAACAAGGCTGGAACTACAGACTTGATGTATCAAGGTGGAATTTAAGACAGCAAGTGATAAACCAGATAAAAAGTAGTTTTTATTTAGCTTTATGTTGATGTACTAAAAGCATTTTGCATTACAATCAATAATGCCTGCTATTAATGTAGGCTCCTGAAAGTAGGTAAGTATATGAACAAGTCAAAAAATGAAGTATAAATTGGATAGGAAGAAACACAATTATTGTGGTTTATAGATGATATGATTATAAATATAGTAAAATTAAAAAATTGATTTAAAAACCTGTTAGAAATAAAATAATTTTATATTGTGGTCTACTGAAAAATTAACATGAGAAATGTATAGATTTCCAATAAGAAATAAATGTCACTTAGAAAATAAAATGAAATAAAATATCTTATTTATAATAGTAACCCAAAAGATAAAATACCTAGGAATAAACTGTTATAAATGCATAACAAAAGAAAATCTCAAAATTATAATAAAGGATTTAAGAAAGATATTAAATGCTTTCAATTGCTTTGCATGTTCTTGGGTAGAAAGTCTCAATGTTTTAAACTCTAAATTCAGACATAAATTCTATATGGTCTCATATAAAACAAAAATAAAACTTGTTTTACTATGTATATATAGAGGATAAAAGTTGAAAGAAAGAAAAAACTATACGAGTTTGAGAAAATACATTAAAACAAGGTATTAAAATATGTTCTGGGGTGTTAAATCAACACCTACTGAGGGAGACTATGACTCACATACATGAGTCATACGCATATGTATACCTTATATATAAATATATGTACTTATCTATATGAATTTATTTTAATATAAATAGCATTTCTAATCAATGGTGGAAAAGAAATTACACCAATTAAAAATTTATCAGACTACTGATTTATGAAATAAAACTATCACTTTCTAGAAGAGAATGAGAGTGAGTATTTGTACATCTTAAAATGGGGAGGCTTTTCTAAATATGACAGAAGATTGAGAAGCAGTTACAGGAAAAACAGATAAGGTGTCATATTAAAATGTAAAATTTATAAAGGCATACATTCCAAAGACATTCAAGCATCTAGAAAAATTATTTACAGTACATTAGACAAAATGGTATCATTTTAATTTAAAGATAAATTTATAGGTACTCCTGTTAAATATGGCCAATGTAGTACATGGTTTTCTATTTTTTCTAAAACCTATTAAAATTACGATCAAAGGGAACAAAGAGCATGGGAGAGGAAACAGTAGAATAAATAAGTAGATTACTCAACAGATTAGAACCATCAAACTAAGTGGGTAGCAGAGAGAAAGCCACTAAACTAGCTGAACACTCAAAAGACAGGCATTGTACTCATCAGTCATTCCTAAGGGTGGGACCATGGCGAGACTGAAAATCAAAGAACTGGTTGAAAGCTTTATGAGCAAACAGTTAAACTCCTGAATTCTCTCTTTTATCCTGTGTGAACAGCCCATTGCATTCTTGAGCAGTACACAGAGCCCAGGGATGTGGTGCAATACTATAGAGGAGAAATTAAGTAAAAGGCTACTCACAAAACAAAGCTAACAAGGTCTTTTTCCCTATTCTGCTCTAAAAATGTGGGTGACCAGGCCACTTCCACTGACTGTCACTGACTGACTGGCTCTAGGAAAAAGAATACAGACTCCAAGAGAGAGAGTTCTTAAACAAATCAGCCAGGTCTCTGCTTGATCACAGTGCAATAAAGTTAGTAGCTGGAAAGCCACTCACAATGAATACATGGAATTTCAAACCACAGTTTTTGGTTTTTTATTTTTCAATATAAGTGGAGAGTGAAGCATAACAATATATGTTAAGAAATTCTCTAACTTCACAGCGACAGACCAAAGTCAGTTGGGGGTTGGAAGGTGGGGAGAGAATTCAGAGGAAATACAAAGATGAGGAGCATGTTAAACTTTTGAAAAAAACTCCAAAACTTAAGATTACTGCCCTCAAGGTAATAAGAGAAAGGTAGAAAAAAAATGGTTTTCAGATCTACAATGTGTGCATATTTTTAGTTCTCAAGAGGTCCAACCTAAAAATAATACACTTCACTTAAAATAGGAAGTCAAGTAAGGAAAAAGATGAGGAATTTAGGAAACTGAGGATCCAAACCAGAAAATAGGAGGTAAACCTTCCCAGGATGAAGGTGAAGAGTCACCCCGGAAGACACTGCAGTGAGACTGCGGATCTAGGATCTACCCCTTCAGAAGAGGCACTTCTAAGGACAAAAAGACTGAGGCTGAGAGAATATCCAGTGTATTTTGCATATTGAGGTATATGGGGAAGTAATTATGACTGGGTACTTAGAATAAGTAAACAAAACTAAAGTGATTAATAACTGCCAGAAAAACAAAAATGTTCTGTAAAAGTAAATGCATACTACCTCTTTCAGCTATAAATGATATCACTAAAGTCATAATTATATAAAATGAATATTAATTTATCACAAAATTAACCTAATTTTATATTGGGAGAATGAAATAAGGGCTTGGTGTGTGTATCTGTGTGTGTGTGTGTGTTTATGTGTGTGTATGTGTGTGTCTGTTTTGGGGTAAAGAGGAGAGTAAGAAATTTAAATACTTCTCTTCCATAGGATAAAGTCAATGAATAATGTCTAAATGTGTTTTTTTAATTAAGTAATAAATGTAAAGTATTTTATTTGGAAATATTGAGATAAACAAAAACACAGAAATAGTTAAACATCTTAAAGTAGTTACATATAGGTGGCATGATAAGTTAGAAATGGAAAGGCACTATAATATTTTACTTTCTGAAGACACTATATTCTATAAGAAATATTTGTATTTATTGTAGGAATATTTACATAGTATTTGATGAAAATATAAATTAAAAATAAACCAGAAAATTAAAACATGGAAATAAATTTAAAACCAAAATGCTTGGCATTTCAGAAATTTTGGACTACTTCCAATGCATCAGAAGCAAGACTTTCCTAAGAACATCCCAATGAGCTTCCAACCAATGGCCATTAGAAAGCAACAGATTGCCGAGTTGGTGTTTGTGGGGGTCAGGGGAGAGAGGCAGGAGGCTGAAGTGTGTGGTGCAAAGGAGAAGGAAGTGTTGATATCTTATTTTCTTTTGTGCTAATTATAAAATTAGTGTGAAAAATATAAATTATTTATTACAGAAAAATTAACAAAAGCAGGTTGTTATTAGGAAACATAATACTTATTATTGGAACGTAATAGAAAATTGGTATGGCCCACTTCTCCAGGTGGGGTTAAACACTATTTTGTTTCTTTCACTTTTCAAATTAAACCCAACACAATCTTCACAAGCCCATATTATCAGCAAGGCCTATATTTTCTATAGTGTCTTTTTCTTTCCACTGAAATATAAAAAATCCTCTGGGTTTCCTCACTTCAAAATGTTCAGTCCTACCTCTAACTCTTCACACAGTGAGAAGTAAAGGAACTGATCTGTCTAAACTTTCCCAGGGATGCAGAGTTAATCCCGCTAAAAGCAGAATATTCTGGGGGCAGTTTAAATCAGGTGCCCCTCTTTCTCTCCACCACTCTTTTCTTCCTCTATCCGGTTCCTTCTATTAGTTGTATCTCCCTTCATGTGGAATTCCCCCCATCTGATTTCTCTCTTTCAATCTGGTTTCTCTGCCCATCATATGACCCTCCTCCTTCCCTTTCTCCCTCTCCATTTGATTTTTCCTTGCTCTCTCTTTTGCCCCCTCCATTTGATTTCTCTCCCTCCATCTCCAAACTCATGTGCTTTCTGAAGGCATTTGTTAACATTTTAAGAACAATGTTACCACGTCTTTTATATCAAGTATAATCACCTATTTTTCTGGAAATGTCAGCCTTACAATCAAATTTCCAGATTAAATGTCAGTCTCTGTATCTCTGGCCCAGAGGATCACAAACTTTAAGTTAATGAGAATCACCTGGAGGTCTTGGTAAAACACCAATTATTGGCCCCACCTTAGGACTTTCTCTTTCGGTAGCTCTAGCGTTCAGCAGGTCTGGGGTGATCCTTAAGCTGCTGGTCTGCGAACCACTTTAAGAAAACTGTTGTAAACCCAGTAAATTGTATTAACGAAGAGGAGTTGTATGGATCCTAAGATGTAAAATTCACTTTTGAGTGTGAACTACCATGAAACACAGCATGAGGAAACCAGCTAGTCCAATCTTCTCTGCAGAAAACTACTAATCTCTGGAGGAAGAAGCTGATACATTGATTCGGTAAGGCCACATGCTTGAGTGGATCCTACATGATTTAAAACTGATTCCAATCAATTTTCTGAAATTCTCCAAAGATTTTTAACTCTGGGAATATTTTCAATGAATTTTTTTCAGGTTATAACCTTTTTGCAATTCCAATGTTATTCATATCTATAATAATTTAGTAAATAATTCAAAATTGATTTTTTTTTAGTTAATTTTCTTCCCTTGTCCTTTTGACACTTTGAACACTACTGTTCTGTAAAATTTTTTCATGGTCAAAATAAGGCCTCTCAACTAGTGGGCTAAATTCTTATATAGCATAATCTTCGTATTTCAAATATTTTGAGTTTCTCATGCTTCTTGGCTTGAGTAACCATCTTCTCATCAAAATTTATAATTGTCTTGATTACCAGAGGAGTCTAGGAAGTTCTCCTTTAACCAACAGGAGGATTCAAGTTCTTATACAACATCAAGCCCAGCCGTTTCCTATTTGAGATGAGGCTGAGATAAACCTTACTGATAGATTCGCTAGTTTTCGTCTAATTTCCATGAGGCTTCTATCCTAAAGCAAACTCCTTTTCTGCTACAGTCTTATATATTATAAATTTGACTTGAAAAGCTTTATGATTCTATTCTCCAAAATGCCAGCCAGACAACTTTATTCTATTCTTAGGTGTAAGTTACCCTGGCAACAAAAAATTTTAAAATTCCAGGATTAAATTTTTTTCCATAAGCCCTTTTCCTGTCCTTGTCTACTTTTATTTCTGTAGATGTGTAATAGTATGT